>NC_000002.12:18873391-19024906 GCF_000001405.40 Homo sapiens
TATCCCCTAGTTTGAAGTAATATCAATATTCTCCTTAACAATTTTAGTTTATAAACTGTATCTTGATGTCCTTTACATTTAGATTTCTAACTCATATGAAATTTATTTTTATGTGAAGCATAATATGGATTTAACTTTATTTTTTTCCCTGATGGTTAGATAATTATACCAATGCTACTTATTAAACACATCATTCTTTCTTTACTTAATTGAAATGCTATTTTTATTATTTTATTTGGAGATATTATAGGAAATGGTTTATACTATAGGCAAAGGAAATTGAAAGAAGATAAAATATTTGTATTTTTCATTGAGAGGAAATAAGTATTTGATAAATTGAGACAATGCAAAGACAAAATAAAACATATATTTATCATAAGTTCAGTCCAATAACCACAAAAATAAAAATATAATATATTTTTATATATGGCTTTTTAAATTATGAGAAGACAGTTTTAGTTATCTACAGGAATGCAGGAAAGAAGGAAAAAGGGGATAAAAGGAAAGACAGAAATTTGGAAATATGAAATAATGTAGAAAAAATAATTACCAAGAAACAGCCATTAAGATTGTATTGAAAATACATACACACTACCTCACACATACAGTGTCTCGTAAAAAAGATAATGGGCTTAATTTTAAATATGGATTTTTTTTTATTTACCAAGGAAGATCTGTATTCCTGAACAACGCAAAAAAGCTTTTGAAAAAAACCAAACATCCATTCCTGATTAAAACCAACCAAACAAGCAAGGAAACAAACTCTCAGCAAACAAGCAATAGAATAAAACTTTTTCAACCTAATAAAGGTCTCTGAGGAAAATCTACAACTACTATCATTCTTAATGATGAAAAGCTCAGTGCTCTTCTGTTAATATCAGGACTGAGGTAAAGATGTCTGTTTTCATTCTTATATTCAACTGGAGGTTGTAGCGAGTGCAATAAAAAAAAATGCGTCCAGATCAGGAAGAAAAAAATAAAATTATCTTTATTGGTAAACAACATGGTCATCTTCGTAGAAAATCCTACAGAATTTACAAAAAACATGCTAGCACTAATAAGTGAGTCTAGAAAGGCTGCAAGATACAAAATCAATATACAAATATCCATTGTATTTCTATACAGTAACATGGAACAATCAAAACCTGAAAATAAAATAATACCATTTACCATAGCATCAAAAATATAAAATATACAGAGATAAATCTTGTAAAAGTATAAAAGTCATGTTCACTGAAAACTGCAAAAAAATGCTAATTGAAATCAAGACCTAAATGGTGCACTTACTGTGTGATGGGTCGGAAGACACAAGTTTTTAAAGACGTCAGTCTTCCTCAAACTGATCTGCAATGTTCAGGCAAACTCAGTCAAAATCTCAGCAGACATTTTTATAAGATGGACAAAATGATTCTGACGTTCACATGCAAATTCAAAGGACCTAGAATAGTGAAACTTAAAAAAAAATCTAGTCGAAGTATTAATACTACTTGAAGATTTATTTAAAAGATACATTTAAAAGTGCTCCAGTATTTTCATAAAGATAAACAAATAGATAATTGAACAGAATACAGAGTCTAGAAACAGAATCACACTTATATTAGCAACTTATTTTTCACAAAAGTGCAAAGACAATTCAGAGTGGAAAGGATAGTCGCATTTTTTCCCTCTAACAGTACTGGATTAATTGGGTATTCATATGCAACAAACAAAATGAATTCTAATTTATAGCTTACACAACATGCAACAATTTAAATGAATTGCAAGTTTCTATATAAAACCTAAAACTATAAAACTTATAGATAAGAACAGGGGAGTATTTGTAACCTCAGATTAGACAAATAATTCTTTGACACAGCACTAAAAGCACAGTCCATAAATAAAAATATATGGTATATTAAACTTTATCAAGATTAAAACCTTCTGCTCTTTGAAAGACAATTTAAAGAATGAAAAGATAGGCCACAGACTGGAGAAGGTATTTGCCAATCATATATCTGATAAAAATTTGTATCAAGAGTATATGTTTATTTTTTGGCCGGGCGCGGTGGCTCACGCCTGTAATCCCAGCACTTTGGGAGGCCGAGACGGGCGGATCACGAGGTCAGGAGATCGAGACCATCCTGGCTAACACGGTGAAACCCCGTCTCTACTAAAAATACAAAAAGTAGCCGGGCATGGTGGCGCGCGCCTGTAGTCCCAGCTACACGGGAGGCTGAGGCAGGAGAATGGCGTGAACCCGGGAGGCGGAGCTTGCAGTGAGTCGAGATCGCGCCACTGCACTCCAGCCTGGGCGACAGAGCGAAACTCCGCCTCAAAAAAAAAAAAAAAAAAAAAAAAAAAAAAAAAAAAAAAAAAAAAAGAGTATATGTTTATTTTTATGTATTTATTTATCTTTTTTCGGACGGAGTCTCGCTCTGTCGCCCAGGCTGGAGTGCAGTGGTGCGATCTCGGCTCACTCAAGCTCCGCCTCTCGGGTTCATGCCATTCTCCTGCCTTAGCCTCCCGAGTAGCTGGGACTACAGGCGCCCACCACCATGCCCAGCTAATTTTTTGTATTTTTTGGTAGAGACGGGGTTTCATCATGTTAGCCAGGATGGCCTCGATCTCCTGACCTCATGATCCGCCCACCTCGGCCTCCCAAAGTGCTGGGATTACAGGCGTGAGCCACCCTGTCCAGCCAGAATATATGTTTAAATATGTGAAGTTCAAATATGTGAAATTTATTATATGTCAATTATACTTCAATATGGCTATTAAAATATTAACTAATCATTAAGTGATAGATTAGAAAGAACATAGCAAGGGCAACTATTGCTTACCTATTTTAAGGACACAAGAAGGGTGGGTTTTTTTAAGTTTCAAAATTAAAATTGATACATAATAATTTTACATATTTACAGGGAAGAGTGTGATGTTTCTATGCATGTATACTACATTGTGTAATGATCAAATTAGGGTAATTTATGTATCCATCACCTCAAACACTTGCCATTTCTTTGCAGTGAGAACATTCAAAATCCTTCCTATTGGCTATTTTATTACCACACACAATATATTATTGTTAACTATATTCACCCTACTATGCAATAGAATGTCAGAATTTATCCCCCCTCTCAAATTGTAACTTTGTACCTGTTTACCAATCCCTCTCTATTTCCTGCTTCCTGCTCCTCTCCGCAGCCTCTGGTAACCACTATTCTACTCTTTACGTCCATGAGATCATCTCTTTTAGATTCCACATATGAGTGAAAGCAGCATTTGTCTTTCTGTACCTGGCTTATTTTCTTTAACATAATGTCCTCCATGTTCATCTATTTTCACAAGTGACAGGATTTCATTCTTTTTATGACTAGATAGTATTCCATTATATATATATACCACAATTAAACAAAAATTTATCTGTTGTTAGACAAAGGTTGATTTCATATCTCAACTATTGTGAATAATGCTGCAATAAACATGAGAGTGCAGATATCTCTTTGACACACTGATTTTATTTTTCTAATATATATCTAGTAATAGGATTACTGAATCATACAGCAGTTCTATTTTTAATTTTTGAGGAACCTTCATACTGTTTTATATAATGGCTATATTAATTTACATTCCCATCAACAATGAATAAAAGTTTCCCTTTCTCCACATCCTTAACAGCGTTTTTACATTTTTTGTGCTCTTGATAATAGCCATTCTAACTAGAGTGAGATGATATCTCATAGGGGATTTGATTTTCATCTCCCTGATTATTAGTGATGTTGAACATTTTTCATATACCTGTTGGACATTGTATGTCTTCTTTTGAGAAATGTCTGTGCAGATCTTTTGCCCATTTTAAAATTTATTATCATTATTATTTTGCTGTTTAGTTGTTTAGATTTCTTTTCTTTTTTTGACTTTTAATTTAAGTTCGGGGTACATGTGCAGGTTTGTTACATAGTTAAACTGTGTCATAGGGATTTGTAGTACAGACTATTTCATTACCCAGGTATTAACGCTTAGTACCTCTTAGTTATTTTTTCTGATCCTTTCCCTCCTTCTACCCTCCACCCTCTGATAGACCCCATTGTGTGTTGTTCTATTCTATATGTCCATGTGTTCTCTTCATATAGCTCCAACTTTTATATATTCTGGATATTAATCCCTTGTCAGGTGCAGAGTTTGTGAATATTTTCTACCACTCCGTAGGCTGCCTCATCACTATTGTTGAAGTTGATGGAAGTCTGTTGATTGTTTGCTTTGCTGTGCAGAAGCTTTTTAGCTTGATGTAATTCCATTGTCTATTTTTACTTTTGTTGCCTGTGCTTTTGAGGTCTTATCCAAAAAAAAAAAAACGATTCCCCCAGACCAGTCATAAAGAGTTTCTCCTGTTTTCTTCTATTTTTCTTATAGTTTGGGCCATGCATTTAAATTTTTAATTCACTTTGAGTTGGTTTCCGTAAATGGTGAGCAATAGAGGTCTACTTTAATTCTTTGCAAATGGATATTCAGTTTTCACAGCAATATTTATTGAAGAGAGTGCCTTCTCTCCTTTCTTTTCAATATAGCATTGGAATTTATAGCCAGAGCATTTAGGCAAGATAAAGTTATAAAGATCATGTAAGTTGGAAAGAAGGAAGTCAAATTTCCCTCTTAGTAGATGATGTAGTCTTGTATGTAGAAAGCCCTACAGACTCCACTAAAAAGTGTAACTGTCAACTAGTAAATGAATTCAGTAAACTTTCAGGAAAGAAAATCAACATATAATAACCAGTAACATTTCTGTATGTCAACTATCTAAAAAAGAAATAAAGAAAGTAATTCTATTTACAATAGCTACAAAAATTTAAATACCTAGGAATAAACTTAACCAAGAAGTTAAATTTATCTCCTGTAGAGAAACAGCTGAAATTGTGGAAAAACAGACACACGCTCTTATCATGTGAGTGGCTGACCTGCAACGAAAGGTGCATGCACAGCCTCACCTACTGTTGAGGTGTCTACTGTTAAAATGAGAGCATTGATTGGAAAAGAATGGGACCCTTCAACTTGGAATGGGGTTGTGTCATAGGATGCTGGTGAATCTGGTGACACTGAGTTTGTAAACTCTGATGAACCTTTTTTGCCAGAAGAAACAGCTTCCTATTCCCAGTAGTGGCAACATCCCCTCCCTGACCCATGCTGCCATCAGCCTTTCCACCTTTATCTGAGGAGATAAACCCTGTGCTGCCTGAGGCCACAGTGATGGCCTCTCCTGAGGCAGTTTCCAGGCAAAATATTGTTGATTCTTTTCAGGAGCCACCCCCAACATCCCCGTTTGCTTCTAGACCTATAATTAGATGAAAGTCCCAGCGGGCCGCTAGAGGTGAGGTTGAGAGTGTGACCCATGAGAAGGTGCACCACACTTGAAAAGAACTGCTTGAGTTCTCTAATTTGTATGAACAGAAATCTGGAGAACAGGCATGGGCATGGATATTAAGGGTATGGGATAATGGTGGAAAGAACATAGAGTTGGATTAGGCTGAATTTGTCGATTTGGGCCCACTAAATAGGGACTCTGCTTTTAATGTTGCAACTCAGGGAGTTAAAAAGGTTCTAATAATGTATTTGCTTGGTTAGCTGAAATGTGGATTAAAAGATGGTCCACTGTGAGTGAGCTGAAAATGCCTGATTTCCCTTAGTTTAATGTAGAGGAAAGGATCCAAAGGCTTAGAGAATTTGGGATGGTGGAGTGGATTAATCACTTTAGACCTGCTCATCCCAGCTGGGAGGATCCAGAAGATACATCCTTGACCAATGCTTTGCAAAGATATCACACTGGTCTATTACATTGATGACATTATGCTGATTGGATCCAGTAAGCAAGAAGTAGCAAACACACTGAACTTATTGGTGAGACGTTTGTGTGCCAGAGGATGGGAAATAAATCTGACTATAATCCAGGGAACTTCTACCTCAGTAAAATTTCTAGGGATCCAGTGGTGTGGGGCCTGTTGAGATATTCCTTCTAAGGTGAAAGATAAGTTGCTGCATTTGACCCCTCCTACAATCAAGAAAGAGGCACATTCCTCATCTGGGCATGTTACTCTGGCCCATTTATCGAGTGACCTGAAAGGCTGCCAGTTTTGAGTGGCGTCCAGAACAGGAGAAGGCTCTGCAAGAGGTCCAGGCTACTGTGCAAGCTGCTCTGACACATGAGCCATAAGAGCCAGCAGATCCAATAGTGCTTGAGGTGTCAGTGGCGGATAGTGATGCTCTTTGGAGCCTTTGGCAGGCCCCCCATAGGTGAATCATAGTGGAGGCCTCTAGGATTTTGGAGCAAAGCCCTGCCATCTTCTGCAGATAAGTACTTTCCTTTTGACAGACAGCTCTTGGCCTGTTACTGGGCTTTGGTGGAAACTGAATGTTGGACTATGGGTCATCAAGTTACCAGGTGACCTGAATTTCCTATCATGAACTGGGTGCTTTCTGACCCATCTAGCTATAAAGTGGGTCATGCACAGCAGCATTCCATCATCAAGTAGAAGTGATATATATGTCATCAGGCTCAAGAAGGTCCTGAAGTCACAAGTAAGTTACATGAGGAAGTTGTTCAAATGCCCATGGTCTCCACTCCTGCCACCCTGCCTTCTCTTCCCTAGCCTGCACTGATGGTCTCATGGGGAGTTCCCTGTGATCAGTTGACAGAGGAAAAGAAGACTAGGGCCTGGTTCACAGATAGTTCTGTACGATATGCAGGCACCACCCAAAAGTGGACAGATGCAGCACTACAGCCCCTTTCTAGGACATCCCTGAAGGACAGTAGTGAAGAGAAATTTTCCCAGTGAGCAGAACACTGAGCAGTGCACCTGGTTGTGCACTTTGCATGGAAGGAGACATGGCCAGATGTATGATTATGTACTGATTCATGAGCTGTAGCCAGTGCTTTGGCTGGATGGTCAGGGACTCGGAAGAAGCATGATTGAAAAACTGGGGACAAAGAAATTTGGGGAAGAAGTATGTGGATGGACCTCTGTGAGTACTCAAAAGCTGTGAAGATATTTTTATCCCATGTGAGTGCTCACCAATGGGTGACCTCAGCAGAGGAGGATTTTAATAATCAGGTGGATAGGATGACCCGTTCTGTGGACACCACTCAGCCTCCTTCCCCAGTCACCCCTGTCATCACCCAATGGTATCATGAACAAAGTGGCCATGGTGGCAGGGATGGAGGTTATACATGGGCTCAGCAACATGGACTTCCACTTACCGAGGCTGACCTGTCTATGGCCATTGCTGAGTGCCCAATTTGCCAGCAGCTAAGACCTATGCTGAGCCCTCGATACGACACCATTCCTCAGGGTAATCAGCCAGCTACCTGGTGGCAGGTTGATTACACTGGACCTCTTCCATCATGGAAAGGGAAGAGGTTTGTCCTCACTGGAATAGACAATTACTCAGGATATGGGTTTGCCTATCCTGCACACAATGCTTCTGCCAAGACTACCATCCATGGACTCACAGAATGCCTTATCCACCATCATGGTATTCCACACAGCATTACCTCTGCCTTGGCTAAAGAAGTGCAACAGTGGGCTCATGCTCATGGAATTCACTGGTTTTACCACATTGCCCATCATTCTAAAGCAGCTGGATTCATAGAATGGTGGAATGGCCTTTTGAAGTCACAATTCCAGTGCAAACTACGTGACAATACTTTGCAGGGCTGGGGCAAAGTTCCAGAAGGCTGTGTATGCTCTGAATCAGCATCCAATATATGGTACTGTTTCTCCCATAGCCAGGATTCATGGGTTCAGGAATCAAGGGATAGAAGTGGAAGTGGCACCACTCACCATCACCCATAACGATCCACTAGCAAAATTTTTGATTCTTGCTCATGCAGCACTGCATTCCGCTGGCTTAGAGGTCTTAGTTCCAGAGGGAGGAATGCTGCCACCAGGAGACAACAATTCAATTAAACTGGAAGTTAAGATTGCCACCTGGACACTTTGGGCTCCACCTACCTTTAAGTCAACAAGCTAAGAAGGGAGTTACAGTGTTGGCTGGGGTGGTTGACCCGGACTATCAAGATGAAATCAGCCTGCTACTCCCTAACAGAGGTAAGGAAGGGTATGCATGGAATACAGGGGATCCATTAGGGCATCTGTTAGTATTACCATGCCCTTTGATTAAGGTCAATGGGAAACTACAACTGCCCAGTCCAGGCAGTACTACAAATGGTCCAGACCCCTCAGGAATGAAGTTTTGGATCAATCCACTAGGAAAAAAAAGCCATGACCTGCTGAGGTGCTTGCTGAAGGCAAAGGGAATACAGAATGGGTAGTAGAGGAAGGTAGTCATCAATACCAGCTACAACCACGTGACCAGCTGCAGAAATGAGGAGTGTAACTGTCATGAGCATTTCTTCCTTTTTTGTTAAAAATATGTTTGTGCATATATACACTTGTACTAAGAAAATATCTTCATTTTATTTTCTTTTACTTTATTATGTGATATAAGATTTATTGACTTCATATCAGTATTTAAGTATTGTTAACTTTATGTAATAGTATTTGGGTTGGGAATTGGTGTGTTTCTGGTTGTACGAAGGATAGTTGTATTATGTTAGGCATAATTATGACCTTATTATTGTCTTTATTTGAAGATTATGTATGATCTCAGGAGATGTGTATGGTTTCTGGTTGACAAGGGCTGGACTTGTGATGGTTAATACTGAGTGTCAACTTGATTAGATGGAAGGATGCAAATTACTGGTCCTGGGTGTGTCTGTGCTAGTGTTGCCAAAGGAGTTTAACATTTGAGTCAGTGGACTAGGGAAGGCAGACCCACCATTAATCTGGTCGGCACAATCTAATCAGCTGCAAGTGAGTATAAAGCAAGCAGAAAAATATCTAAAGGTGAGACTGGCCTACCCTCCCAACTAGATCTTTCTCCCGTGCCAAATGCTTCTGGTCCTCAAATATTGGACTCCAAGTTCTTCAGTTTTGAGACTCGGACTGACCCTCCTTGCTCCTCAAGCTTTCAGACAGCCTATTGTGGGACCTTGTTATCATGTAAGTTAATACTTAATAAACTCTCATGATGAGAGTTTATTAAGGAGATATATATATATATGTATGTATATATATACATATATATACACACATATATATATATATACACATGTATATATATACATATATATATATCAGTTCTGTCCCTCTAGGGAACCCTGAGTAATACACTCTGTATAAGTGGGAAGATAATGCTTTCATTCTCTCCAAATTAATAAGTCAAGTCAATACAATTCTAATCAACATAGAGACCAATGTTAGTGTTTTAAAGGAAATTATTCTTCATTTGGATGATTTTTAAAGGTAAAATTTCTATAGAAGAATAAAAATCAATAAATAGCTGAGTTAATCTTTTTTTTTTTTTTTTTTGTGACGGAGTCTCGCTCTGTCTCCCAGGCTGGAGTGCAGTGGTGCGATCGCGGCTCACTGCAAGCTCTGCCTCCCGGGTTGACGCCATTCTCCCGCCTCACCCTCCTGAGTAGTTGGGACTACAGGCGCCCGCCACCACGCCCGGCTAATTTTTTTGTATTTTTAGTAGAGACGGGGTTTCACAGTGTTGGCCAGGATGGTCTCCATCTCCTGACCTCGTGATTCGCCCGCCTCGGCCTCCCAAAGTGCTGGGATTACAGGCGTGAGACACCGCGCCCGGCGAGTTAATCTTTATAAAATGAGTTAAGCAGGGGAAATTACACTGCTGGATATTAAAACATACTACAAATAAATAATGAGAAAAATATAAGTACAGATATAAGAACAGACAAATAGACCAATAGAACAGAACTCAGAATTCATAGATAAATGAAAATTGTAACTTAATATATAATGAGCATATTAAAATCAATAGGAAAAAAGAGGCTGTACAAAATGACGTTGGGAAAAAGCCTTACTTTATGAAGAAAAATACAACTTGTTCCTTATCCTTTAATGTATGCAAAAATTAGTTAAAACTTTTCTTCAAAAAGTAAAACAAGAAAGTTAATGGAAGAGAATATATGTACAATACTTTTGGACCTTGGGTAGTGGTATTTAGCAAAACCCAATAGCACATACAATAGGAAAAATATGGGTTTGATTACAGCAAATGTACATATTTCTGCTTAATGAAGAACATTGGACAGAATTTTCATGCACATTGGGAGAAAATATTTACAATGAATATAAGTGTAGGAGATGATAATCTAAGATATATAAGGAAATCATTTAAATCAATCAGAAAAAGAGTATCCTACAGAAAAGTGAGCCATGGGTATAAATATGTATATGAACAGATACTGAATAACATTGTTTATTAAAGAAATGCAAATTAAAACTAGAAATAAGTATCACTGTCACACATCAGATTGGCAAAATTTAGAAAGCTTGATAGTGCCAAGTTTTAGCAGCAGTAGAGGCTTCATAGTGCCAAGTTTTAGCAGCAGTAGAGAATTTTTATGTATTGTTTGTACACGTGTAACTGTTGCTGCTTTTCTGAAAGCAACCTGTCAGTTTTTAGTTACATTAACTCAACTTATACCCTATGACTCAGCAATTCTGTTGCTAGGCATATATCTCAGTGAAATTCTCACAGATGTCCATAGAGATTATGTACTAGGGTGTGCATTGAAACATTGTTTAGCTGTACACAGTAGAAAATAACATCCATTCATTGGGGAAAGAGATGGGCAAAAACTAGTGGGTGCACACTGTGGAATACTATGCAGCAGTTAGAATAAGAGAAAAAAACCTAGATGCATGCACAACATCATGCATAAAGACGCATAACTCAGTGCTGATACAACATGTTAAAACAGAATGAGTGAAATATCATACTGCAATTAAGATGGCATGTGTCAAAAAGACAGAAAATAACAAATGCTGGAGAGGGCACCAGCAGGGGGAACCCTCCTACAGTGTGGGTAGGAATGTAAATTAATATAGCCACTGTGGAAAGTAGTAGAGAATTTCTTCGAGAAAACTAAAAATTGAACTACCTTATGATTCAGCATTCCCACTGCTGGGTACAGAGCCAAAAGAAAGGAAATCAATATGTTGAAGAGATGTCTGCAGCACTCCCATGTTCATTGCAGCGCTATTTACAATAGCCAAGATATGGAATCAACGAATGAATGGATAAAAATGTGGTATGTGTGTGTGTGTGTGTGTGTGTGTGTGTGTGTGTGTGTGTGTGTGTGTCTGTCTGTGTATATATACACAATGGAATATTATTCTGCCACAAAAATAATGAAACCCTATCATTTGCAGCAACATGGATGAAACTGGAGGTCATTATATTAAATGAAATAAGGCAGTAACAGAAAGACAAATATTGCCTATTCTCACTCCTATGTGGGAGCTAAAAAATTGATCTCATGGAATTAGTGAATAGATGGTTATCAGAGGCTAGAAGAAGTTGTGGTGGGTAGGGGATAAAGAGGTATTGGTTAATGGATACAAAAATTCAGTTATATTGAGGAATAAGATCTACTGTTCATTAGCACAATTGGCCTACTATAGTTAACAATTTTTTTTTGTATGTTTCAAAATAGCTAGAAGAGTGGATTAGGAATGTTCCCAACACAAATGTATAATACATACTTGAGATGATGGATATCCTAATTACCTTGATTTGATCATTACGCATCATATGCATGTATCAAAATATGACATATACCCCATAAACATGTGTAACTGTTGTATATTTAAAAAAATAAAACAAAAAATACAGAATGACATCTGTAACTTGAAATCATTTTATTAATTAAAATGACATACATCCAAAACAAAACTAAATTTACATGAATATATCTCTCTCTGCCTCTACATATCTATATTATAGATATCTATATAGATGTCTATATTATATTATAAAGATATATATCAGATACTATATGATATCTATATATCAGATATCTATATTATAGGTATATATCTTACAGAATGTAACATATAGAGTATAAGTGAAATTACTTGGGAGGTAAAAGGAAATGAATGCATATTTTAAATAAGAGAATTACTGTATATGAACTGATCATAGAGTAAATAAACTGAGGAGCATAATTGGCTCAACTCTGCATCCGAAGATCAAAAATAACAGCATATTATGGCAAACAAAAAAAGAAACTGTTAGGGCTGCTACCAAGTACTAGACACTACAATTTTCACCACTGCTACTTCCAGACTTGATTGAGGTATCAGTGCCAGAAACCTGACCTTCCAGCCACCACTTGTGGCCACTTCCAAAGACAGAGTTCCCTCACCCCTCGCCCTCACATTACTATCTCCTGGGTTAAGATATGACATGAGTGTGACTGATTGGTGAATCCCACATCACCATGCTGTGCCCTAAATACAAGGAAGACTGGGAAAGAGAGTATCTAGCATTTTCACTCCTCATCATCAAATTAGGATTGGTCTCTGCACTTCACAACAAGACTGATAATGTGGGGAAGAATTGCCTAGATGTACTAAGGTATTCAGAAACTGGGTGGCCACAGTTAATGCCAAATATTTGCTTTTGTCAATTTATAGATTATTTGATTTGTTTTTTTGGACATGCTTCCAGGATTAATTACTACATAGTGTGAATCTGTGAACATACTACGATATATATCCACGTTGATTGATCTTTATTGTTTTCCTCTTAAAACGTGATGTGCCTATTAAATGTAGAGATTAAAGTATTTCTAAATTTTAGAAAAAATAGCTTGAAGTATGTTTTAAAATATTTTGTTCTTGTTCCAATTGCTCTATATTTTTCTTCAGGGACACCAATTATGCATATATTATCACCCCTTTGTAGGTTTCCCACACCTATCATCCTCCCATTAATCCTTCAAAATCTTAAAAAAATAATTTTGTTCAGGTTTTTTGAGCCTGCCGTCATTATTGCTATTGCTTTTTTTTTTTTCAAGCAGTCTTTCTACTCTTTTCTTTTCTGCTTCCTTTTGATGTTTTGTTTACCTCTTACATGTTTTCCCTTACCTCTGACAGTTTGGTGTTCTAATCTTTTACTCATTGTTTCTCTCTAGCTCCACATTGGACTTTTCCCCCATAAAGGCCCTATTTCCTCTAAATTCTCAAATTTTGTTGAAAATACGTGGCAAAATTTTCTGCTTCTTTATGGTGTACTTTTTATGGTGTGGTTCTTCATGTATCTTTTTTTTCTTTTTCTTTTTGAGACAGTCTTGCTCTGTCACCCAGGCTGGAGTGCAGTGGCACGATCTCGGTTTACTGCAATCTTCGCCTTTCTGAGTAGCTGGCATTACAGGCACCTACAACCATGCCCAGCTGATTTTTCCATTTTTAGTAGAGATGGGGTTTCACCTTGTTGGTCAGGATGGTTTCGAACTCCTGACCTCAGCTGATCCACCTGCCTCAGTCTCCCAAAGTGCTGGGATTACAGGCATGAGCCACCACACCAAGCCCTTCATCCATCTTTTTATTGTCCAGTTAAATTTCTCATTTTCTTTATAATTAAAAATATATGTTTCATAGATTTGACAAGTTGAATTATTTTTGTTACTGTGTTTTTTAAATTACCTTTGAACAGAGGGAATTCTTTCTGAACAAGATATTTATGAAAGAATTTTGTGGAGAAGGGATGAGTGGGTAGAAACGATGAACGGAAGCTCTTCTGAGTAGCAGGCAGGGAGTTTGAGAGTCTGTTTACCAACACTAACTCATGGAGTTGGTCCTGTGGGCAAAAACAAAAGCCAGGAGAAAATAAAACATCTTTTGCTTACAGTAAAACTACATGATGTTACAGGATTCAGATGTGTGTGTGTGTGTGTGTGTGTGTGTGTGTGCATGTGTGTTTGTGTGTCTGTGTGTTTGTGTGAGAGAGAGAGAGAGACTGAGACAGAGACACACACACACACACACACACACACACACACACACACACGCAGAGGTAATTTTAAGTTTCAGGGCTGTTTGATTGCCATTCTTTCTTTTTTTTTTTTGAGACGGAGTCTCGCTCTGTCGCCCAGGCTGGAGTGCAGTGGCGGGATCTCGGCTCACTGCAAGCTCCGCCTCCCGGGTTCACGCCATTCTCCTGCCTCAGCCTCCCGAGTAGCTGGGACTACAGGCGTGAGCCACCGCGCCTGGCCGATTGCCATTCTTTCTTTAGCACCTTGCCCACAATGGGCCTCTCCTTCTTCAAAGATAGTGCTCCTTTGCTATCCAACCATAGTTTGCTTAGTATGCCATAGAGTCTAACTGGATTCCAAGAGGCTTGTACAATGAGTTTATGCATACTTCTTGTATCTTTTCAAAGAAATAATCATTATGCACATCTGGCTCTGGCCCAAGGTCTTTGAAGCTAGGTGCCTTTTTTGGCATCCTCTCTTACTGTCATTACCATTTTATTTCTCCTAGCGGCCCTTATTTATACATTGTGGTTTGGAGTTATAGGTGTTCCATAGACTCATCAAAATAGCATACCTGTTTCTGTTTTATGTTCTCCTCGTTTGCTTCAGTCCATTTTATAGAGGAAAAAGAAAAAGAGTTATGTTAACTTTTTCGTCTAAAAACTGGAAGAGCAAGTGGCTTATGCCTGTAATCCTAGGACTTTGGGAGGCTGAGGAAGATGCTCTTGAGCCCAGGAGTTCAGGACCAGCCTGGACAACATGGTGAAACCCTATCTCTACAAAATAATAATAATAATAATAATAATACAAAAATTAGCTAGGCATGGTGGCATGTGCCTGTCGTCCCAGCTACTTGGGAGGCTGAGGTGGGAGGATTGTTTGAGCCCGGAAGGTTGAGGCTGTAGTAAGCCATGATCACGCTACTACACTCCAGCCTGGGTGAGAGAGCATGATCTAAAAAAAAGTAACAAAATAGATAAAATAAAAAATAATAAAAACTGGAAGAAGCCTCCTAAGTAATGATGCTGTGGCCACGAGGAGCTGAGTACCATCATGTGTGGTGGCCCATTTACTAAGAGTGATACCAACTTCAGGGCCTTGACTCAAGGTCATGTCCTCCAACTCCTAAAAAATATTAGATGGAGATAAACATTATAGTGATGAGCTCTTCGAACTGTGTCTCTCACTCAAGGCAATTCTTATCCATTATCCTTTATTCAGGAACCACGTGTATAAGTTGAGTACAAATTATCAGGCTATAGTCATTTGAAAATGTTAGTCTACTTGTATGTCCCTTGAAGATGATCAGCCAAGTCGCAAGGTAAACGAGCAACACTCTAATAGTCTGGCCTTTTTTGTTTGTTTCTTTATGCATATTTATTGTTTTGATGTAATCTTTGTTGGTTATTTAGAGCAGATATGATCACCATACCCCAAGTATTCTGAAACACGTGAGTCTCTCCCATGGACATTTGTTCTATTTCATTGCATTGACTAGGGACTACCTAGGGACAGGGTTGAAGGTTGTGGTTATGTAAACTCAGATCCTTCATCATGTATATTCCATCTGAAGACAGCAATTAGACACATAACTAAAATACAAAGAAAGTACCTAATCACTAACTTGTAGAGTTATGTGGTTTAAATAAGAAAATTCCCTGGTAGGTAGAAAACTGCTAATATTAGCTGTTTTATTGATATTATTTTCTATCATCATCACCATCATCATCAGTGCAAGGAGGTAGTAACATAATTCTATGAATTGACAGAGGTGGAAGAATTTGATTTGCTGCTAGATTGATTCCATGGATATTGACAATGACCGCAAATATGGTCCTTGGATAAAGGATAGATAAAGGATAGGTCCTTGGAGAAAGGAAAATCATTAGTGGGCACACAGGGAGAACTGAAAGTGGAGAAGCAGGGATGTTTATTGCGCTGCTTTGTCAGGGTGCATTGTGGCAAAAAAAATCAAAACAAAACAAAACAAAAAACCTGTTTCAGTATTGGGGCCTATGCATTGACCTTTTGGTTCTGTCTTATTCTCTCTAATTAGCTCACTTCAACTTGGTGTGTTTTCTTTAGCATTGCATTTGGCATCAGCCTGGTCCCAGTATAACAATTTTGAGAGGATGAGAGACATGGATGGAAATAACCCCTCTAAAGTTACTATGACCTTCTCCCATAATGTATTGTAATGTGGTGGTAATGATAGGCACACTAGCTTCTGTACTTGAAGTTAAAAGAAAATTCAGTTCTGTTTTCTTTTCACCATCCACAAACTGTTATTTGTAATAACAGAGGGAAGAGTTTTCTATAGCTAGCCTGTCAGTGGTTCCAAACTGGAAATAACATCCAACCACTAACTGCTGTTTAATTTTTTTTTCTTTTTACTTTATTTCATGTGTAGCTATGTTTGCACAGCAGGGCGGCAAACATCTGAGGAAATGTCACTTGGAATAGCAAATAAGCTAGCAATGCCATTGTCTCTGCCTAAGGTTTTACCTTTGGTGTGTGTAGTTCTTATTTACTTTGGTGGGTTAATAGCCCCAGTTCACCAGAAAGACTTAATTTAAATAAAATGAAACCTGCGGGAAGATGAAAGGTGGCAAATGGCACTACTTGCCAAAATGTCAATTTCATGCTTGTGGTACTTTATTTCTCTAGAATGGGAAGCATTTCTAAGAGAAACCCATCACCAAGAGCATTGTTGGCTGCTGAATGACTGAGGGCAGAAGAAGGGAGTCCTGGTGAGAATTCAGCACAGGGCGGGGCCTGCAGAAGCCTAGATGCTCAGTGTATAATCTTTATATGTAACTAAACCCCAGACAGACTTCTTGTGTTTCTGAGGGATGCTCCTGTTTTCTCTCAGGGATTTCTATTTTGGGAGGTTGGCACAAAGAGACGTCAGTGGATGTTGGCAGAAACCATGTTTCTCTCCAGCTGCTCCAATGGAAATCAACATGTTACCGTGAGTCATATTTTTTCCTTTGCCAGTAGGGTTTTATACACCATCATCCCTACTCCAAGACATGCCTAGTGACCAGGAGCAGGAGGAATTCTTGGACCTCTGGGAGTTCATGGCCCTCTCCTTAAAGGAAGGGCCCAAACTCAAAGAAAAAGCTAGAGGTTAAGACAGAATCATACTACTTCCCTCCATAAAGTTGATAGTTTTCTCGTATCAGGGGCAGGATAGGGGCACAGATAATGGTATAGGGGTTCTTTTCTGGCACCTTGTGTCATATTATTTGCCCTTTTCCTCTCCAGCTAACTCCTTGTACCAGAGAGAAAAGCAAAGCATTTAAATTTATGAGTACTGATATAGTTCCAAGTCAGCATTTTAACTACTTTGCGTTTCAGTTTACACATCTGTAATACGTGAATAGTAACCACTTCCTCAGAATTGTTGAGAAGATGAAATTAGATAATTGAGTTTAGTGCATGTAAAATGTTCCCAGCAAAGTTCTGCTGGAGGTAAGCCTTTTTAGATCCAAGATTTTCAACCTAAGATTTACCTCCAGAAGTATTTTGCTGGGAAAATTTTACATGCACCAAACTCAACTGCTGTATTCATGATAGTAATATTTTTTCTTTTGTATAATACCTTTCTTCAAAGATACAACTAAGTATATAACAAAAATTCAACTCAGATATATTTCGTTACCCATCTTTCTTTATGCAAGCATGTACTTTCTTCCTATGATTTACTAGGCATAGGCATAGGCATAATGACATTTCAGAATTATGCTCGTTACCATGATGGCAACAAGGCTGGATGATGTAGCATTTAATCAGGCATAGTTCTGGCCTTTTAAACAGCTCACAGTCTGATAATATAATTTAATAAAACTATGTGTAATTCAAAATAAACTAGCCAGAGTAGGGTGGAGGGGAGTGGTGAAGTAGGATCAAATAGAGTTTTTGAAGGAGCTAGTCTTTTGGATGGGCCTTGAATTACTTGGGGGCAATACATGTAAATATGTAGATATAGGAAGGAGCATGGAGATTTTGGGGAGTAGGTAAGTGGCTGGATACACAGGGCATTTATTCTTTAGGTCTCTATTGAATTTTAGTGAGCATTCTCAATGAATGAGATCCATGAATTGAGACTCAATCAGAATTTTGAAATAGAAGGAATCAGTGAAAATGCCAAATCTCTAGTAGTCATTCTGAGTTACTTTACCAATCACCAGTGCTTGACTTAGACCAAAGGACACAGGTTAGCCTATGTCCCAGATAAGGAGGTTTTGCTAACCTTACGCAAGTTTATTAGATACGATTTAAGTGGGTAGACCTGGAGATCCACAGTACACATTTTAAACCATTTCACTGATATTCAGAAGGTGATTTAGACAGGTTTGAAAGAGTTATCAAAAGAAATCAGATCAATCCTGCCTATCCTAGAAGTACTTAGAAACCCGAAGAAAGGAGCTAAGATGACAGTTCTTTTCTGAAAAATGCAGAGAGAGGCTATGCATTCTTTGGTGATGTGCTCCAGAAAAATGTTAACAAAAGGATGGTTTTTACTCTTAAACCATCAACTGATTTTGGCCTGCAAAGCACCAGATGGCTTGCATTACTTGTAATGTGCTTTGGTGTGTCTCTGATGATAAATATGAAGGGTCCTTTAAGATATACAGAAATATTAAGCAACTAAACATGCTTTTTCCCCTCCCTTTGAAAATTTAAGGAGTTGAAAGAAACATAAAGGCCTTTTAAACACAGGAAAAGTTATGTATGGTTAGATCAATTTTGCTCCCACTACAATAAGCCAATGAGGACCTCTCCTTAGGGGAAAGAATAATTAAGTTTGAGCTCCAAAGGTCAGAACTCTAGCCTGGCATAAGAAAACAAAACCGAAATCACTTTTCACAATTCAGCCTCAGTTCTCGGTTTGTGCCTCAATGGTATCTCACAGTTTTGTTTGTTTTGTTTTGTTTTTCACCAAAAGTCATCATGTAGCAAGACAGGTTTTTGTTTTGTTTTGTTTTGTTTTTTTCTTGCTGTAAGCCAAGCATATTCTTATCACCAATTCTTCCCTTACTTATTCTGGGTGCAAAGCCTTTCATAGCCACTCTAGTTAATATTGATGTCTACTCCCTCTGACCTCCTAATTCCAAGTCTCCCCCATTACCCAACCACCCTACTTATGAGCTGAAACCCAATGCACAGAGCTTCTGGGGTGGGTGGTCTTTAAGTACAATCTAATCTCATAACCAGTGATATATGTGCCCTGTAAATACCTTATTTAATTGATGCTGTCTTCCCTTAACACGAAGCAGAGAGCCTGGTAAAAAGTGAGAGCCCTGCAATATTTTCTGTTTGGTCACTGTGGCCAATGGGCTACACTTAGAAACCACCGCTTTGTTCAACTGAACCAGATAGCATATGACAAAGAGTTTTCCAGCATACTCTCCTAACTTGACCTGCCTCATAATTGTATTGTTGATACAAAAAATTTAAAGAATCTCTTTATTTATTGACTGAACAAGTATTTTATCCCAGGCTCTGTCCTAAGCTTTGGGGATAAACTAATAGGAAAATACAAGTGATAGGCATAACCAAAGATTCACACAGTAACTATAAAAAAGTGATATAAAAGAAAAGAAAATGATTCATATTACTCTTAACCTTTGTCTTCAGATTCCTGGGCCCGAGAACACTCTACTTTTAGAAGAGCAGCAAAAGGTTGACTTAGAAAAAAAATAGGTAAAGCACAGACAAATTATTTTAGGTGAATTCTGTGGTCTGTGAAATTGGTGGTAAACAGAAAAATGGGTCTTCCCTTCAGGAGCAAAGACCACATAGACTAGAGCGGAGAAAATTTATCTGAGCAACTGAAAGTACTCCTCAAAATGAGGATGGTCCTCAAAGGCAGAGTGTAATCCATCTACTGCTGAAGTAGATCAATATGTGTGGCAAAGTAAAATAAGATGTAAGTCTTTGTCTTATCCTTTCTTCTCTGAAGTTTCCATTTTCCAGGGAGCCTCGGGAGCTACAATCATTTAGTAGAACAATCTCAGAATTCAGGGCCACACTGAACTGGGATTTGCCCCAGCTGCAAATCCCAGTTCTACCTAGTAGTTGCGGAGCTTGGGAAGGTTATTTATTATCACTGAGACTCATTTTTCTCATTTATTTTTAAATAGCAGATACTAATATTTAACTTGCAGAATGATTGCTCTCTGTTTCTTCCAAACAACCAGAATACTAGAACTTATGTCTATAATGGAATTCCAGGAACCAGATGTCCGCTAGAAAGAGGGAGGGGCTAATTCATTTTTGCAGGTTGCAGAGTGAAGACAAGGCATGAGGGTGTAACCAGGTAACCAGAGGAAGTACCGTGCCCTAGGAGGCAATCAGAGCACAAGCACTAAATACAAAGTCAGAAATCAAGGAAAGGTAAACCAGAGATTATGGGTTGGGGACAAGGGACCTGGAAACCTTGCAGATGCAACAGAGAGAAAGTTCTGTACCTTCTGTTTCAAGCAATCATGAACATTGATGGTTGAGAAGGTAAGGTACCAAGGACAGTACATGATATGACACTCAAAACTACTTCCTTACCTACAGAGTTGCTGGCGCAGCCACTAACATTATAGACATTGTAAACAACTTTAGAATTTAAAATACTTTTACACACACAATCTCTTGTGAAGTGTGGCCTTGGGTGGTGGCCCAGATATCATTAAGGTTCAGTTTCCCTCCATCTATAGTGTGGAGTATAAAGTTCAGAAATTTGACTTGATTTTCCCAAGCCTCCACAATTAATATGATTAAAAAAACCTCGTAGTTGAACAGAGTATCTTGTGTAAGTAGAATATTCTTAACACAATCAATTGTTTTGCAAAGCTGAATAGCAGAATATCAGAAGGAGCTATAAATAAAATAAAGATTTTTGAGCCATTCCAAAATTGCTGAAATCTGTGAGGTCAGAAATAGGAACCTATATTTAAATGATCACCTCCAGTAATTTTGAGACAGCAGCCTTGGAGTGGAGGAGAGTCATCTGGGCACAACTGTTTTACTCCACACATGTATCTGCATAGTGAGACCATGTTATAGAGACTAATTACCCACCCAGTTAGAGCTAAGCTGGGGCTATAAAAGCTTTGAGTTTCCTCTTTAAAAGGCTATAAAAGTGACCTTGTTTTCACTCCTGTTTTCCCTGACATCTTTTTTTTTTATAGTTATTATTCAATATTTATTTTTAAGAATTTAAAAATATATTTTAAAAAGAATTAGCAAATACTATGCAATCAATCTAGCCAATGATTTGATATAGAACCTGGGAACCTGATAAATAAGTACAATCTGATATTTTATTTCATTTATGTTTTTTTTTTTTACCAGTATAAAGATACTTTATTCCCAACGATATTTGAATTTCTCAATTAAAACATCATATAAATAGCAAAAATCTTCTCAATTCTATTTCTAGCATAAAAGGCTAAGTGGCAAAATAGTTTCATAAAAGATTTTTCATTAAATATACAAGTAACTCAAAGAATTTAGGTAGTACAATTTCTTACTAACTACGACAACAGATAGTGAAACTTCTCACTTGAATTCTGGAGATTAACTGTGTGACCCAGGATGAGGGACTTATGTTCTCTGAGCTTCTGTTTTCTCACCTGTTAAATGGAAAACATTGTATTTGCCTCCCAGTATCCTAAGTAGGATTAAAAGGGATTGTATTATAAATGTGCCTGTGACTAAACTGGGAACATAACAGGTATTTGACAAAATTTAGCTGTGTTTGATCTACCTTTTAAAAATACTTGCAATAAAATCATTCCTTAGTGACTCTTTCAGTTACTGTATTTGTCTCATCCATAAATGAAGGTGGTGTTCAGAAAAAACAAATCTCTACAATCTATTACAAGGCTAATGTTCTGTATATTTATTATTCTGGAAAAATTTTCTTGTGATCTCTAACCAGAATTACTTTCGAGAAGCTGTATTTTGTCACTGAAAAGTCAATGAGAATTCCTAGATAATCAATAACATTATCTTAAGAACTTATTAGATATAGTCCATCGGATTTGCTTGCATTCAGTGAATTCCAATGTTAATAGGAAAACATTAAACCAAACTATGGTAAAAGTCATTCTTTGATATAAAAGGAACTTCAATGTCTTGTATGGCCTTTTGTTTATTTTTAGAGGGCAGGAATTACTGTGCTATTGTCATATTGACACACCAGTTAATGAAAATCTTCAGAAAAAATATGGGAACTAGAGTTGTGTATTTATCTATTCAATGTTAGGTGGATTCTGGATTTGTTATCATAACAGTTTACTTTTACCCCAGTACCTATCACAGTGTCTGATACAAAGTAGACAGTTAACAAAAACTTATCAATGGAATTAATACGTGCATTTTATTAAATTCCATTAATCGGTGTGATGGAACAGAACAAACATGAACTTGAAGTACTCCCACTTTAATTCTTTCATTCTTTCTTTCATTTTCTTTCTTAAATTTTTTTTTCATATTTCTCTCCCATTTCTTTCACCTCCTTTCCCCAGGGCCACCAGCTGTCCAATACTGGTCTGGTCTCTGCCATGATAGTGGGAATCACCAAAAGTGACCTCCAAAGGCCATGGAATGCCAACAAGCAGAAGAGGACCAGGAAAGTAACAGGGCCTCAGAATCATATTTTCATCATTATCAATAGAACATGACAGATTCTGAGCCAGTCTCTGATTTGAGCATTCAGTAAAAGGAAATTCTGCATGAAGAGTTATCTGCATAAAAACACTCCTATAGGGAGTTAAATCAGCAAGCAAACATGGTTGATAAATATTCCCATCCCATTGTTTTTACAAGAATGTAAACCACACCTAAAAGCACATTCCTTATTTTGTAGGGAAATATATGACGATGCACACTTCATCCCACTGTGCCAAGACTTATGCTTAAATTTAATTTCAGCCTTCTTGTTTTCTCCCTGTGCTACAGTATGATTTCACAGTACATCTTCCCATCTGTTGAAACAGAGAAATGCTTGCATTTTGGGCTGAGATGACTAATATTCATGAGGAATGAATCCAAATCCAAACTAAATGCACATTTTTGCATTTGTCCAAACCTAGCCATGAATTATCTCAGGCTATCAATAGAAGAAGAAGAAAGCTGCTATCTGTAAATCCCTATTTGTTTTCTCAAATTGCAACCTTGGCAATGGGTGTGACAGAAATATGTTCAGTATTCCTGGTAGCCTAACCTGCCAAGAGAGATAAAGCCACTTTGAAGTCCAGGGATGAGAAACTACACAGATTTTTACCCCAAACGGGCCTCAAGCCCTTCTCAAAGAGAAGTGGGCTAAAACAGCCTGCCTGTTTCACAGCCTTCAGAATCAAGGAGATGGATCCTGCTGCCTCCAGGAGGTAGCAGATTTGAACTTAGTAAAGGAAATGCACTTAAAACCACTCTGGCCAATAATGATGATGGTGATAATATCAATAAAACAATAACAGTAAAAGTTAATGTAGGAATAGTAGCTATTATTAATGCTTACATTCATTAGGTGATTGCTGGATTCCAGCACTGTGCTGAATCCTGAGGCATGATTCCATTTCCTGACAACATCCCTGGGATGAATACCGCAAAGCTCAGGTGGTTGAATGATGAGGCTCACACAGCAAGGAGCAGGGCTGAGGTTCTGACCTCAACTCTGCTTCCCTCTGAAGCCTCTGCCATTTACCTTTCTATATTACCCATGCTGCCCCTCTGTTTGCATTGCTACCTTTCTGCGATGAAACCCACCTTGGACCTCCTTTGGGAACAGCTCCTCCTAATACACTGTCCACAGCAGCTGCCCTCACCAACAAACAGCCCACACATACAAATAATGTCTTCTGGAGGCCAGGTAGAAAGAATGCCTTGAAAGAGATGTGATTCTGTTGCAAAATAAACTGGATGTGTGAAATCCTTTAGCTTCAGCAAAATGTGCTCACACTCCTTTCCTCATAGGAGTTTCTGTCATTGCAGATGGGACTTGGGGGGCAGCAGGTTTCCAGTATGAAGTCACAGGAGCTGACTCTGGCATTTCTTCTCGTCTTACAGTCTCAAATTATTTTTTTTCCCCAAAGCAAGAATTAGTTTACTCAGCCAGATTTTCTGAGCACCCACTTTGCACTAGTCCTAGGCTAGACACCGCACATATATTTCCATTAGTTCTAACAAATAGATTAATGCTTTTGTTTTCTATTATTTTGCCTGATAAGAAAAATTAGATAAGATGCATTAGGTACATTCCTGTAATCCCAGCACTTTGGGAGGCCAAGTTGGGCAGATCATCTGAGATCAGGAGTTTGAGACCAGCCTAGCCAACATGGTGAAACCCCGTCTCTACTAAAAAAATACAAAAATTGGCCAAGCATGGTGGTGCGCACCTGTGATCCCAGCTACTCAGGAGACTGAGGCAGGAGAATTGCTTGAACCCAGGAGGTGGAGGTTGCAATGAGCCAAGATCGTGCCACTGCACTCCAGCCTGGGCAACAAGAGTGAAAATTCGTCAAACAAAAATGCATTAAGTAACTTGCCCAAGGTTTTAAGTCCTATTAAAGCAGTGCTTCACAACCAAAGGATATTATCATTCCCCTTCTCCCCAAAAAACTTGACAATGTTTGGAGACATTTATGTTGTCACATATGGAGGGGCAGGGGACAGGGTTCACTATTGGCATCTAGTGGGTAGGGGCCAAGGATGCTGTTAAACATCCTGCAGTACACAGAGTAGCCCCCCTAAAGGAAAGAATTATCCAGTATAAAATATCAATAGCACTGAATTTGAGATACCCTGAATTAAACTGAGTGATTTGCGACTAGATTCTGCTAACCTTTGGCTGATGACGTAGATTCTCTTAGATGGACAGATGGACTCAGCTTTGAATCAGAGCCTCTGGCTGCTCTGCCATGGCAGTGTCTGCTGCTCAATGTCCTGACACATGCAACAGCCTGGGAGCTGGGGTCCTCCCTGCTCAGCCAGTTGGGTGTTCAGAATGTCCATGACTTAGAGCCCTGATGCTGCTGCAACTCATAAATCTCCCTATATTCCCACATTTTATAAAAGGTGCATCAGGAAACATTAATGGCCCAGGAACTTTGGGGTTCTAAATACTCAATATTCAGAGAGCCCCTTGCTGAATGAAATTTTGGCTTGAGGAATGGCCACAAAGTTGGCTTCTTTTGACTGGTTCATGACTCAAGGAATAAGGAAAAGTGGTTACTCATTTCTTTTCTGGAATATAGGCCAATTTCTTTAGGGCAAAAGACTAAGGAATCCAGAGAAGCTTCTCTGTATGGAAAGAAAGGTGGAAAGCTGGCCTGTGTTTATGGACCATCAGGGCACCTGGCAATTTTAAATCAAGAGGTACTATTCAGTTATTTTAAATCAATAGATGTTTGCTGGAGCAAAACTTAAACTGATGGTGTAAAGACCTGGGATTTGGACCTTTGCTGAGACTTAATTCATTTTCTTATTCACTGAAAAAATTATACTATTTAAGCACTATTGCATGCATGTCAGACTCTGAATAAGATCTGGGCTATATACAAGTTACAATTTTGTGAGAGGGAAATGAGAGAGAAAGTAATATTAAAATAGGACAGAAAGATACCTAGTTATGGCAAAGAGGAATGGGAGCGAGTAGGGGAGGGGGCAAGGAAAGACATTTCAACAGAGAGAATGACATGTGGAAAGGCCTTAAGGCAGGAGACAGCACAGGAAGTTTGAGAATTGAAAGAAGTCCAATGTAATTGGAGCACAGAAAGCAAAGAGAAGAGATGTGAGAGTGAGCTGAAGAGAAGGGAGCAGTGGGGAAGGCAGGCAGGTTCTATTGAGAGTCTAGATACCCACTGAGATCAGTGTAGCACCACCCAGGGACCCTAGATTCCATCTGAATTTCAGAAAGCAGGGAAAAACACAGAGAGACCAATTAGGACATTGCTGCAATAGGGTCAGAGAGGGGCAGATGGGCTTTTGACTAGTTCTGTAGCAGGGAATACACAGACAGGTGGATGGATTTTATACATACTTTGGTGGAGGGAGGGCAAGGAGTCAGTGATGGATCAGCTGTGACAAGTGAGGGAGATGAGGTGAAAGGATGCTTGCCAGTCCAAGCGACTGGGTTGGTACCATTTCCCAAGACTCTGCAATTCTCATCTTCCTCATCTGTAAAGTCGGAAGAAAATTCTTATCCTTTCTCCCTCACAGGATTATTTGAAGGACCACGTGATATAACAAATATACAAGGGTTTTCTGGACTATAACTGATGATAAATAGATAAATATCTGATCTATAAGGTGACTGTTTGTAATCATTATTACAGCATATTCATCTCCATGGCTTTGTTATCAGTCTCCATGTGCTGTGAAACACCAGTGCTAGCTCAGTGATGTCTCTTGGGTGCCTTACAGCTTCCCGATTTCACAGTTACAGGGAGTTTACAGAGCATATAAAATGGCAAGGGTGAAAAGTTGTGGCTTCTCATTTCTCTAGCATGAACTTGGCTTTTAAGTCTTGAAATCTACTGTGATTGCCATGAGAAACCCTGAACCAGCCCAGTTTCATTGCTGACATGCTTGGGGAATTGGGAGTAGACAATGGAAACTGTTTCTCTTGCATTGTTTTACCGAGTTGCCAAAGAATGGCTGCGCCTCACCGATCTCAGCCTGGTAATTATCCAAATGGCTCTGGGTCACAAAAACCACAGGAAAGAGCCTACTGGCTTGCTGCTGCTCCAGGGCTCCAGGGCTCCAAAGATATGGCCTTTTATATCCCTTTGCAGCCTCAGAGACTGTGACCATGATTGAATGAGTCCAGCCCAAGTTATAAGGAAAATGTTTTAAGACCAATATCAGGAGACCTAGGCTCAGCCCCAGCCCTGCCACTTATCAGTTATATCACCTTAGGGAATTCACCTTGAGAAGTACCAGTTTCCTTGAGCATTATTTGAAGACAGAGTTAATTGATCCATTTAAGAGTTGTGAGAAGAAGATAAGATAACTAATACACTTTGTAAATTGTAAGATGAGAAAATTCAATAGTTGGATAAATGAGATGAGTGATATCAGCAATAGTTCCATGGAGAAGAAAGACATAGATAGATTGATTGATGATAGATATGTGTGTATACACTCATGGATATGTTTCTCACTTGGGTGAGGGGATAATATTTGTTTGGAAAGTTATATTAAACTAGAAAATCAGTGACTCATTTGTCTATCAGTATAAGTTTTAAAACTATACTCTCCATCTGTGAAAGTACAATTAACATAACCTGACAGTATCTTAGAATGCTCCAGAACTGGAGGTGACTTATCTTGGAGATTGCCAATCCTGTGCACTTTTTAGGAGGGGTCACTGAGGGCAGCCACCTTCTGGATGAAACCTGACTTGTTCCTGGTAATCCAGCCAGGCAGTGGTGGTTTGGAGCTGAAGCCCAGAGACCTCTGAGTCTTCATTCTGAACTCTTTTTACTCAACCACATGCTCTCTCAGGAGTCTTTCTATTTCCTGCCAAATGGCACAACCCTCCTTGGGAAGGAGAGTGAGGGTCAGGGGCCCAGACTGCTGGTGGTGATGTTGGGGGCAGTAGGCTGAAGGCAGGAGGGAGTATTTCACATTTATTGCATTTACTGCTCAGGCCAGGCAACATTAGACATTCAATTCATGTAATTGGAATTATTTTTTTTTCCTTTAAAAATAATGACCTCAGTGTTTAGGGTCATCACTTTGTGCTATTCATAGTTACTCAGTTTTATTTTGCTTCAATTGTGAAATCAAGCAAACCAGCTCTATCACTTTTCAACAGAACAAGAAAGCCAGTGAGTATTAGAAGGAGATCTGTGGATTATTCCATTTGATAGGAGAAAGTCCTTTCTGGGATACCAGCTAGTCACCCCAATTCTGTTTTCTCTTTTATGGATGAAAACAGATGTCAGGGAAAAAAAGATGAACATAGTGGCATTCTCTGTCAAAACATCTTGAATAATTTTTCAAACATTTTGGGTTTGTTAAAATTCAGACTGCATAGTGCCAAGCAGTTTTGCTTAATTTCTAAACCCCTGAGTATTTAAAGGGAAATTTAATCGGTGTTTTTCTGAATCATTTCATTTAATTCATCAGTGTGCTGTTTCATAAGAGCCATTTGATGCCAAAAAGGTTCGTCTGTGCCAATTTAGGAATTTTACTCTGGAAGGCTTCAAGGTCTAAGAGCAGAAACACAGCAGGGACCTGGGTGTTCTAGACTCTCACAAATCGAGAAGTAGAAAAGGCTGCATATCTTATGGTTCTAACTCCCTGAATTCTCTAGATGGGAAAGGTCTTGCTCAAGTTAATTCCAACAACCAGCAAGAAAAGTGGACTCTCAATTCCTAAATCTGCCAAGACATTGCTCTCTTTGTGTTCAGAACAAATTAAAGGCCTGTGGTGGAGAAAAGTGAACTTACACATTTAGCAGCGACTTGCTTGTTAGTATGAATGTGTTTTTTTAATAAATATAATACATAGCAACTAATATTTCTAAAATATTCTGCTGTAATTAATCAGCATTAACTGTGCAGCATTGCTGTGGAAAAGCTTTTGCTTCCTCAGAGGTAGAGCCCAAGTTTCACAGGAGAGAGCAGGATCCTAAATATGAAAATTTACTGATGCTATCTCTCCCCTCCTGCTCACCTCCCATGAACTCAGTGGAAACCCCCACAGTCAGCTTGTTTCTGTGCCTTAAAGGCCACAGTTCAATAGTTGAACACACACACACACACACACACACACACACACACACACACACACACAATTTGTAATGCTACCCGTGTATTATAAGGACATTTAGAACTGAATATTGGGAATAGGCTAATTCCCAATAAGAAGAATCATATCAAGCAAATAGTAGTGTGGCAACATAGATGTTCAGGCTATTGATGCAAAGACTCGCTTAGTACCTATTCTTTCCCAGACTTTATGCCTAGTGGTTTACATATATTCAGTCATTTATTCTTCATTATGATTCTGTGACTCTGACAGCTTTGAGTTGATTGTACAGCGAAGATATTGGGATTTAGTGAGGTTAAGTAACTCATCCAAGGTCACCCAGCTAATAAGTGGCAGAACTGGATTTGAGCAGGAACATGTAAAAAAGTGCCTGTTATTTCCATTTGCCATCCTGCTTGCTGCAAGAGCTTTGGTACTTGATTATAAGTAAATAAAAGTAATGCAGTCACCTGAATAATGTTCAAACTTGATTAAAGGGAGCTTAGGTATAGTTTTCAGATGAAGAACTTGTAGGTTCCTTTAATATACAGATAGAATATGTCCTTCATTTTTAGGTAGAATTTCTACCATAACACAAGTTTGAATCATGAAATTCCAGAATACTAGATGATTAAGGGTCTCACAGGACATAATAAGAGGCCTGATTAGGACTGAATTCTGGTGAATTCGCTTCTCCTTGCAAACACCTGCTCATGGACTATACTCACAGCTCAATTCTCAATCCCAACAGAAGTTGCATGCTTATTTTGTTCACTTTTTCATTCCCACATTTATTCATAGATTCAGTCACTTATACTTTCATTTATCCATTCACTCACTCCTCATTCATTAATTCACTCATTTGAAACAGTCAACAGCAACTTCCCAGTGTGAATAACACTGAACTATCCTAGGTCTTGGGAAACAACCAATGTTCGTAAAATATGACTTTGTCTTCAAAGAGATCATTTCTTTATACATTAAGTATTAAATGCCTACAGTGTTCTAGTACTAGGTGAGGTCCTAAGGATCCAGCAATGAACAAAGGCAACTGTGGCTACCATCTTCATGAAAAGAATTCCATTGGAAAGGCAAGTCTGTTGCCCACAAATGTGTAAACAATGGCCGCAACAAAGAGACCAAGGCTTTGACATGAATGAATGTCTGTGATGGTGAGGGCCTGGAGAGGACTTCACTGAGCAGATGAAACAAAATTGGGCTTCAAAAAGCTGCAATTCTAGAATGACACTGACATCTCAGGGAATGAGTTGCCCCACTGCCACTTCTCTGATGGTGACCACAAAGGCTGGAAAGAGCTCCTTTGTGCGGAGGAGGAAAGTGGCTGTATGTTCTCTCACAGCAGAGAGGTAAAAGCAAGGTTTTGGGGTAAAGTGCCTGAATCTCAGCAGTATCATCTGGACCTAGTCACTTCATCGCTCTGTGCCTAAGGATTCTCACCTTTCAAATGGAGCTAAAAATGATACCCACCTTGCAAGATGGCTGTAAGGATCAAATGATTTGAAAAATCCAAATATTCATCTTAAACCGTAAAGCTTTTATTACATTTAAGTGATTATTTTTCATATTATTCTCATTATATCTCTTCTTTGGAACTTGCTTTTTCTATAGGAAATGTACTTGAAGTCCCTACAGGCCTTCCCTAACCTGTGGATGGTTATGTTGTAGAATATTATTATAATTCAGTTAGAAGTCATACGTGAGGATTTTCCAATGGAAACAGCATGCAAATGATGTCCAGGCTTCTGTGACAACCCATGAGATCCTGTAAAACTCCACGATCCTGGAACAGAAAATAGTTCCAGAATTAGAAGCAGGGCCAGTAGCTGGCCACTTTCGAGGGTGGTGCCATGGGAGGACCTGGGGTCATGAACAGGGTGAAGCAGTGGTTTCTGTGGTTGGCAGCAGCTCTGTCACAGGTGTGGGAGCTGTTCAGCCAGAACTACACCCAAGTCAGTGAGCTGTGAACTTTCTCTTGCTTTGGTTTGTGATGACAAACTTCAGGGGTAGCATCTGTTGTTCATCAGGAATTCGGGGAGATGGGAGATTTGTTCTCTTCCTGTAAGACTTGGGATCTGAAAAGCATCACCTCTCTGGACAGATTCACAAGCCTAGTTCCTAAGTAGTTTGTCAGGTGAATGCTTCCATGCTTCCTCTGCAGGTCCATAAGCACCACAAATGTAGAGACCTTGTATGTTCTGTCTTGTTGCAGCTTTGATGGCCCGCATATGTTCTCACATATTATAGGTCCTCAGTATATATTTGGCAAATCAATAAATGTTAAATAAGTTCTCATTTAGCTGCCATCAGCCTTGTAATTATAGGAGACTTTATCAGCCGAGTTATAGAGGAAGGACATTTGCCATGTTTGGGGCACATTAGAGAAATGGGTGACTTGCAGGCCCTATTCTTTACCCAGTGGATACTTATTAATCCTAGGAATTAATTCCAGATATCTCCTCTTTCAGAAAACCTTCTACTATACCACCCACCTCCAACAGAAGCTGGGATGGATACTTTGATACTATGCTGTGATTATTTCTGTCATTGCCCTGCATCATTTTATTTTTTGCTTATATCATAAAATGGGAAGCCCCTGAGATTTATTCCTCTTTGTAAACCCAATATCTAATCCAATGGCTGGTACAAAGTGCTTAAATGGTATAGGCAGAATAATATATGCCTCTGCCTCCAAAGATGTCCATATTTTACTCTCTGGAACCTGTGAATATCTTAGGTAAAGTAGCAAATGAAATTAACTTTAAAATAACAAGAATATCCTGGGTTGGGCCCAATATAATCACAAGAGTCTTAAAAGTGGAAGAGGAGACAGCAGAGAGTGATGTGATGTGAGAAGAGCTTGTGTCTCCATTGCTGGCTCTGAAGATGGAGGAACGGGGTCATGAACCAAGGGATGCAGTCAGCCTCTGGAAGATGAAAAAGGCAGAGAAATTAACTCTCTCCTAGATCCTCCAGAGAAAAATGCAACATTACCTTTATCTTTATTTTAGTCCCAGAGACTCACCTCAGACTTCTGACCTACAACACTATAACACATGTGTATTATTTGAAGGTACTAATCTGTGGTGATTTGTTATAGTAAACTAATACAACTGGGACCTTCAAATTTACCATTTGAGATGTTAGGTAATAATATGTAATAATTAATATTAATATGCAATAATTAATATTAGATGTTACCTACTAATAAGACCTATTAAAATATTAATAATACCTATTAATAGGTGATAATATCTAAAAATACCTAGTGGGTAATAAGATAATAATGCCTACTGTAGCTTTATAACATACTTTAAAAGCAGGAAGTGTGATGCCTCCTGCTTTGTTCTGTTTCTCAAGATTGTTTTGGCTGTTCTGGGTCTTTTGCTGCTCCACATGAATTTTAGGATTTTTTTCTATATCTGTAAAAAAATGGCATTGGGATTTTTATGGAAATAATATTAAATCTGTAGATCAGTTTGGGTAGTATGGAAATTTTAACAATATCAAGTCTTCCAATCTATGAACATAGGATGTATTTTATTTGTATCTTCTTTAATTTCTTTCATCAATGTATTTTAGTTTTTACTGTACAAATCTTTCACCTCCTTTGTTAAACTTATTGCTCAGTATTTTATTCCTTTTCAGTATTTTTATAAATAGGATTGCCTTCTTAATTTTCTTTTCAGACAGTTTGCTAGCATATAGAAACACAATCCTTTATAATACTAGCAACAAACTCTGTCAGCTTTTGTCCACCTAGAAATGTCTATTTCTCCTTCATTTTTGAGGATAGTTTTACTGGATGTAGAATTCTTGGTTGGCAGTTTTAGTTTTCTTTTGACACTTTAAATGTATCACCCTACTGTCTTCTAACCTCCATGGTTTCTGATGAAAAATCAGCTATTTATTTTATTGATTAATAATGGGTCCATGAAACAGTATCCCAGGGAGTAATTCTCAGGTTCCCACATGCCCATATAAGAATAAATTCCAATCTCTCAGGTCCCTGTCACTTGGTTTTCCAGAAATTCACAAGTGATTATACCAGTGTTTGACACGGGAGTCGTGCTTGTTTCTCATTTTACGGAGGGCATAATTTAAGAGCATGCATTTTTGGACTGTGGGATGACACAAATGCCTTCAGAAAGAGTGTTAATGCCATCAGGGTAAGTGCCATAAGGAGTTGCCCTCTTCAGAGACTACACTTTTCCTTAACGAGTGATCCTAATAAAGAAATGTTCTGTGGGCCAAAGAGTCAAGGGCAGGACCATCTATGTCTGCAGTGATGTGGCCAGGCTGACATTTTTCTCATGCCATCTCCGCACATCAGAGTGGGCAGTTTCCCAGGCCACTGTGATTCTTTAAAATGAATTGGCTTCTCCTTTCTAGGATCATGCTTAATCAATGTATTGAACTCCCAAATAAACATGGCCTCCCTTCACCACATAGATGCTGTCAGGTCCCTGTGCTGAAGCAGCACTATCAGCAAGGCTCACATTTAAAGCCCTGAGGCTCGCGAGGCTGGTATTGGTAAAACTCCTGCAGATCCTTGCCCTCACTGAGGTGCTTCTCCAAGATGTGTGTGTGTGTGTGTGTGTGAGGGATGGGGCTAATGATCCAACAATTCTAGGGTTGAGTAAGTCAGGTCAGATCACTGAACCCATTCTGATCAGGCTCCTGAGGTACCATTCACATTGCCATCCCTCCTGGATACCAGCCAGCACAGAGGGCTACAATAGGACAGCTTCCAGCATCTCAGACTTCAGGACCCAACCCAACGTTCCAAATCAACCTTCCACTCTTCTGCCCTTATGTCAGTGCAGGGGCCAGTTGGACATCCTCAGAGTAACTTTATTTTCCAAAGATGTCATTGATCTTGATCTACCTCATACTGTCTCTCTACCTTTGAGTCTGAAAAAAGCTAGAAGCTAGGTCTGTATTTCTTCTTTTCTACACGACCTTGCACTCCTTATGCAAAAATCCTCCCTAAACTCTGTGCTAACTCAGTGGAGGAAGCAGCTTCTACAAAGCTCTCCCACTCCCCCAACCTCTCTCTTTCTCTCTCTCTCTCTCTCTCACACACACACACACAAACACATACAAACACATAAATATACACATACAGCTCACAGAAAAGTTTGTGTGCAATCTTGTGTGTACATAATTTAAAGAAAGCCATTCTATAATAAAGAACATTTTCTAATATGTAAAATAAGTGGTTTTATTTAATGGCAGATTCTTTTTTTGAGAAAGTCATCCTCATCCAATAATGCTCTACATACATGTTGCTAGACTGATTGTTGAATGTGTAGATGAACAGGGGAAACCCCTAAGGATACTGGGAGAATTGGAAGAAAATGGAGCTCATATAATGAAACTCATTTGAGAAAGACCATTTGGGTTGCAGAGGGGTGGATTCCGGGGTTTGTTTCTTTAAGTCTTAATCTGTTTTCTTTTGCTGTAACAGAATACCTGAGAGTGGGTAAATTGTTAAGGAAAGAAGTTTATTTGACTCATAATTCTGGAGGCTGGGAGTCCCAAGATTGGGCAGCTACAACTGGTCAGCTTTTGGTGAGGGCTTCATGCTGTGTTATAATGTGGAGGACAAGTAAGAGGAAGTGGGCACGTGCAATAATCAAACATGAGAGGAAACCTTGCCTTATAACAACTGTCATCTTTATCTCAAGAACTAATTCATTCTCACAGAGTAGAAACTGACTCACTACCATGAGACTGCATTTATCCCTTCATGAGGGCCAATCCCTTGTGACACAAACACCCAGTAAAGATCCCACCATCTCTCAACATAGTTACATCAGGGACAAAGCCTCAACGAGAGTTTTGGTGAGGACAAACCATCTTCAAACCATAGCACCATCTATATTGATAGTCAAAATGTCAGTAATTCAACAACGTGAGTTAAATTTGCTACCCAGGAAAGGGGACAGTTCAGTGGGATAGGGGAAACAGGAGCAGTGACCTAACTGACTCCAGAGAAGTGCTAATAACATGCCAAATGGCTCACTTTCTTTTGCATTCTACTCTCACCCAAGTTAGAAGATATAAATGATTGACTGTCAGGATAATGAGAAGCAGATTTGCCTCTGCTAATTTCTAGGATATGGAAGGCCTTTAGAAAAAGCCTCATAAGACATTACTGAGTATTAACGAGCCCCACCTCCTTGATAGAGGACATATGTAGGATGCAAATCTGTGCTCCAGTGTGGTGGATGCCGCAAGAAAGGACAGAGCTTCACAGATAATACCTGTAAAGTTACCATGTGGTCTGTTAGATGAGGAACCTTCTTTTATTTTATATGTCAGAGGCAGGGACCAGTAAAATGCAGTCTGCCCTCCTTCAATCTGTAAATGTATGCATCCTTTCTTTAGAATAGGGCTGGGGCCTGTCTAGAATATCTGTCTCCCTGTGCTCTGAATAGTCATGGGGTGCCTGTTAGAACCCAAAGACTTCTCTGAATGAACAACTGAGTTATAATTGCTGAGGGTGCACAGAAACAGTAATTGAATGCAAAAATCAGCTTCATGAGATTAAATTAGTATAATCCAGAAGCAAAAAGCAAAAGGCAAAGAAAGAGACCTGCCTCTAGGTCATGAGCAGGGCATGCAGGAAAACTTGACTGAGCAGGAAAGGGAACAGTGGCAAAAACAAGGAGTCTGGAAGCTGGAGTTCCTCTTACTAAACCTCAGGAGCTCCTTGTCAGAAGGTGGCATCTGCCTGCCTGCCTGGCAGAGATACACTACAGGGGTTGGCCTCCCTCAGAAATGGCTGACTGATTTGTTTGGCCAGGACGGTGTGGAAATAACTTCTCCAGGTAGCTGTGGTGGAGACTGAACAGGGCCATAGCACCCCACAATTATAATGGTTGTCTTGTGGTGCCAAGTGGATACAGGGACCTATGTCACTTTTCAGGAACCTCTGACACATGGGTAAGGTTTAAGGGAAAATGAACTTTGCCTAATGGCTATCTCATAGCATACAAAGAATGCATATAGAGTGTCACTGAAATTCAGGGTTGGAACTGGTCTTAAAGATCTCATCCTCTGGCTGGGCACGGTGGCTCACGCCTGTAATCCCAGCACTTTGGGAGGCTGAGGCGGGCAGATCGTCTGACGTCAGGAGTTTGAGACCAGCCTGGCCAACATGGTGAAACCCCATCTCTACTAAAAATACAAAAAAAAAAAAAAAAAAAGCTGGGCATGGTGGCAAGTGCCTGTAATCCCAGCTGCTTGGGAGGCTGAGGCAGGAGAATCGCTTGAACCTCTGGGAGGTGGAGGTTGCAGTGAGCCAAGATCATGGGGCCACTGCACTCCAACTTGGGTGACAAAGTGAGACTCCATCTCTAGAAAAAAAAAATCACATCCTCCAAATCTTCCATTCTATGATGGAAAAACTGAGCTTGAGAGGAGAGAACACTTAGACTACCCCTTTTGTTAAAGTTTGTGGATGTTTGGACTTTCTGAACAGTATTTGCCAATGCCCCTAAGTAGGGTTACCCTCAAAGTATACTTTTTGCTTCAGTCTGTTCTCACATTGCTATAAACAAACGCCCTGAGACTGGGTGATTTTTTAAAGAAAATAGTTGTAATTGGCTCACAGTTTTGCAGGCTGTACAGGAAGCACAGGCACTTCTGCTTTGGGGGAGGCCTCAGGAAACTTCCGATCATGGAAGGCAAAGAGGAATCAGGTGCCTTACATAGTAGGAGCAGGAGCAAGTGAGAGAGGGGAGAGGTACTACTCGCTTTTAAATGACCAGCTCTCATTAGGACTCACTATTGCAAGGACAGTACCAAGTGGGATGATGCTAAACCATTCATCACAAACCTGGTCCCATGATCCAATCACCTCCCACCAGACCCCACCTCCAACGGTGGGGATTACATTTTGACATGAGATTTGGTGGGGACCCAGATCCAAACCATATCACTTTGGAAATGCATTTTATCCCTGAGAAACTGATTTGTCATTGCAATGCAACAGGCAAGCAAAAGGCCAAGGGATTGAAAATAAACTAAGATGTATTCTATGCCATCAAGTTTCTTGCAGTATAAAGGAGCAATAAACTCTGGCATGGAATAATAAATGCTGTAGAAGAACATCTGCATATTTAATTTATTCTTACAAGAAATGTATGACATGTCTATATTTACCAAAGTAGGATCATGGTAATATTCCTTACAGTTGAAGTTTTCAGCTAAGATATTTTCAGATGAATAATGTATTATTATAAATAATTTAGACACTATAATAAGAAAAGTAGCATATGAAGCAAAAGAGAGAAAATAACTTTAAGTAAGTTTAACTTTTACTACTATAATGAAAAAACATTGTGAAAAATTTAAATATATTATGAATGTTATCAGTTTTATATATAGCTTACTTTTCTTTGAATAGACAAACTCATAGTGCCTAAATTAATCATGTTGAAAATTAGTATTACCCTCTGTCTTAGTCCATTTCTGCCGCTATGACAAAATGTCATACGCTGAGTAGCTTATAAGCAACAGAAATTTATTTTTCATTATTCTGGAGGCTGGAAAGTTCAAGATCAAGGCACCTGCAGATTTGGTGGTAGAAGGGGTAAATGGGCTCTCTGTGCTCTCTTTTATATAGAAACAAATCCCATTCATGGAGGGAGGACTCGACCCACATGACCTAATCACCTTCCAAAGACCCCACCTCCTATGACCATCACCTTAGCAATCAGGATTTCAACATATAAACCTTCCAGTGACACAAACATTCAGATCATAGCACCCTCGATGAATTTTTGCACGCAGAAAACATTCTGGAAGTGATTATGTGGTTTAATTTGAGTTTGTCTTCCCTAAAACTCAGCAGAAATGTGATCACCAATTTGGTGATGTTGGGAGGTGGGGCCTAATGGGAGGTGTTGGGTCATGGGGACGGGTGTCTTATGAATGACTCACTGACATTCTTTTGGTAATGAGTGAGTTCTTGCTCTTGGGAAAATGGATTCGTTTTCACAGGGATGTTCCCTTGAGAGTGGGATGTTAGAAAGCCAGGACACCCCTTGGGTTTTGCGTGTTTGCACATGTCTGCTTTCCCTTTGACCTTCTCCAGCATTTTAAGACACAGCATGGAAAGTCCTCACCAGAAGCCAAGGAAATGCTGCTAACATGCTTCTTTTACTTCCCAGCCTGAAGAATGTGGGCTAAATAAGTCTCTTTTTTTTTTAAATAAATTATCCAGCCTCTGGTATTCTGTTATAGCAACACCAAATAGACACGACATTAAGTTAATATAATGGAAGTAATCTGCAGTTGGTTAATTATTCAGTAAACCAAATCAACAAATATTGTTTGTAGCCCACTGTGGTGTGTGTGTTGAGTGTGTGTGTGTGTTAGTGAGGAGGTGGGTGCTGAGGGGAAAGATGAGCTGAGTGTGTGTGTGTGTGTGTGTGTGTATGAGAGTGTGTGCGTGTGTTGGTGAGGGGGTGGGTGCTGAGGGGAAGAGTGAGGTGAGTGTGTGATTATATATATGTGTGTGTGTGTGTGTTGGTGTGGGGGTGGGTGCTGAGTGAGAACGGTGAGGTAAGTGTGTGAGTGTGTGTGTGTTGGTGAGAAGGGTGGGTGCTGAGTGAGGGGAAGGATGAGGTGTGCGTGTGAGCGTGTGTGAGTGTGTGTGTGTTGGGGGTGGGAGCTGAGGGGAAGGTTGAGGTGTGCGTGTGAGCGTGTGTGTGTGTGTGAGCGTGTGTGTGTGTTGGTGGGGGTGGGTGCTGAGTGAGGGGAAGGTTGAGGTGTGCGTGTGAGCATGTGTGAGTGTGTGTGTGTTGGTGAGGGGGGTGGGTGCTGAGTGAGGGGAAGGATGAGGTGTGTATGTGTGTGTGTTTGTGTGGGAGGTGGGTGCTGAGTGAGGGGAAAGTTGAGGTGTGTGAGTGTGTGTGTGTGTTGGTGTGGGGGGTGGGTGCTGAGTGAGGGGAAGGATATGTGTGAGTGTGTGTGTGTGTTAGTGTGGGGGTGGGTGCTGAGAGGAAGGTTGAGGTGTGCGTGTGAGCGTGTGTGAGTGTGTATGTGTGTTGGTTGGGGGGTGGGTGCTGAGTGAGGGGAAGGATGAGGTGTGCGTGTGTGTGTGAGAGAGTGTGTGTGTGTTTGTGTGGGGGGTGGGTGCTGAGTGAGGGGACAGTTTAGGTGTGTGAGTGTGTGTCTGTGTGTTGCTGTGGGGGGTGGGTGCTGAGTGAGGAGAAGGGTGAGGTGAGCACAGATCAGAATAAGGCCCAGAGTGTTGGTGAATACAATAGTATGAGGCAACCTTAGTGATCTCCACTGTCGTGCGACTGCTAACAAAGAGATCTCATGGCCAAGGCCACCTTACATTCTCCAGACGAGAGCGACTAATGTGTTTACACAGGTCCTCACACCTTTGACTCCCTTCTCTTACTCTGCCCAGAGCAATGTAAAGTAATCCCTCTACCTTGGGGAAAGCCTCAGCCCTCATTCTCAAAAACCATGCCCCTCATCCTGTATGTAGCACACATTCTGACCCCACCTTGTCAGCCGGTATGACCCTCAAGTAGGGGAAAACAATAGGCTGAGGAAACAGGTTATAACTTCCCAACATTGGCTCCATGTGGAGCCGAGATAATACTCTGCCCTCACGTGGTTAAGGGAACATTATTAATGTCAGCAGAGGAACAGGACATGAAAATTACATCTCTACGTGTGCTAGGAAGCCAAGGAGTGAGGCAACACTCCTATAATAGCTCTGGAGGGGCCCTTATAGCTCTTAAAAACTTATTTTCATGGAAGAAGGGAGAAGATGAAGATTGATGTATTTTTAAGCTTCTTCAAAGTTGCTTTCTCAAGCAAAATCAGAGAATAAGTTTCATTTTATATTCAACTCTCTCCTAAATTTTAGTGTTTGACTTAATTATTGATACTTAAATCAATAATATATATACATATATTATGTATATATGAATGTAAATATCTTCCTTTATATATTATAAATTTTAGTGTTTGACTTATTGATACTTAAATCAATAATATATATACATATATTATGTGTATATGAATGTAAATATCTTCCTTTATATATTATAAATTTTAGTGTTTGACTTAATTATTGATTTTTAAATGATATATGTATATTATATATACAAATGTAAATATCTTCATATATATTATATATAAATGTAAATATCTTCCTCTGCATTTCAGAAAACTACATTGGCCTTCATCTTGCTGCCCCTAAGTGGCTGCCACTCATAACATAGTCATAGTTTTAAGTTTATTTTTAAAGACAAATTTTTTCTTACACTGTGGAAACAACTACCACTTTGTAATATAGCACAATCCTATATAAAGTGATATATGTTACACAATATTTTATGATATATATATACACACATACTCACACACATAGAGCATCAACATTCTTTAGTATTTCATGAAACATCCTATAGAATTGCCTGGTAATTGGCAAGCTAAACAAATTTGAGAACCACCAGACAAACAGAATGTTGGTTCAAAGAGTTGTCCCTCCAAATCTCTCCACTTGGTCCTGTCCAGCTTCGCTAAAAACATGGGTGAAATGGGCATATTTGCTGCCTATGCTGGTGATATGTATCCACTGACTGGGGTGACTATCATCGAAACTTTCGGCAGGTGCATGCCTTATCCTCCTTTTAGGCTAGACAGGGGGAGAAAGTGACTCTGCTTTAAATTTGTGCCACACACACAGACTGTGTGTGTTTGGTGGTTGGCTGATTTGTTGATTCTTGAACTCAGAATTGCTGTGGGTTGATATATAACTTAAAGCTCTTGGAGAAAGTAAAGCCTTAGACCTAGAATGGACTTTCAGAGATCCTTTGACTTAGAAGAGAGCTGAAGGTCTCTAGGAGCCAGAAACTCCACAGCACCCCATGAGAGAATCAGCAGGACATAAACGGGGAGTCCTGGCCAGGTGCGGTGGCTCACACCTGTAATCCCAACACTTTGGGAGGCCGAGGCAGGTGGATCACGAGGTCAGAAGATCGAGACCATGGTGGCTAACACGGTGAAACCTTGTCTCTGCTAAAAATACAAAAAAAAAAAAAAAAAGAAAGAAAAATAGCCGGTGTGGTGGTGGGCGCCTGTAGTCCCAGCTACTCAGGAGGCTGAGGCAGGAGAGTGGCATGAACCTGGGAGGCGGGGCTTGCAGTGAGCCGAGATCGCGCCACTGCACTCCAGCCTGGGAGACAGAGCGAGACTCCGTCTCAAAAACAAAAACACAAACAAAACAAAAAAAAACCTATCCTGCACCCCTGTGGGTCATCTCTGCATCTCTGCCCTGGCTGTTATTCCAGCTCTTTGGCAGTTCTACTTAATCTCTTGGCAATTTTTCCTTGTTCAGTCTTTAATTCTGACTTGTGCCACTGCCCTGATACTGTGACCATTAGATTTTTGCAAAGGAATCTTTAGAGCAGTGTCAAAAAGGGCCAGAGACCCCGTGGCACTACTCTAATCATTTTCTTTTGTTTTCACCAGAACAGGTGCAGTCATGATTGCTGCTCTTAGATAAGATATCAATTGCACTTAGTGGGAGTAATCAGTATGTGCACATTCCTCTTTCTGGTTCCCCCAGTAGATTAGGGAAACGGGTACCTTTGCAGCTCTGAAAAAGCAAAACTGTGCTATGATGAGTTGCATAATAAATGGAGGTCATCACTAGAATTCTTCAGGAGAAGGGGTCATAATTAAATAGCAGCTCTTAGCATTGTAATAGAAAAGGAAAGTGGGGAGTCCTTGATGCAATGGCAGCCTTGACATTCTCCATCAAAATTTGGCTACGGGCCATGACTGCTCCTCTGTTTTTGCCCCTGTGCACAAATGACAGCTGTCAGCTTAAAGACCTAGAACTATTAGGATTGCTCCAAGCTGAGGGTGAAAGAAGTGCGGAAGGCTCCTGTAAATTGTCAGGATAGTACATTTCCAAAAAATAAAGGACACGAAAAGCTGATTGGAGATTCTGTTCCTTAATGTCTTGAAGTTTTCTCTTTGCTATTAATCAAGGTATAGAGTAGCCTACAAGGAGGAAGCACCCATAATTTTGACAGACCATAAAACAAGCGGGAGTTCACCAAGCTGACTGAGCAATTTTCTCAGTTTTTCTAGAATAAATATTTGTTTAATTCTCAAAAATAGTCAAGGTAAAATTTCTTAAAGTGAATTTGAATTTTTAAAAATTAATGCCTTGGCTTTTTAACTTTCTCTTTTACAAAAGTAAAAAGCTGGTTTGGGAATGAAAGAAAACTTGGGATCCTTAGGGCATGGAAGGCTTTGCATATTGAGAAGCTCAGGGTTGCTTAGGATATCCTGAAACCCTACAAGCAGGACAAAGCTGTGTGCTGTAAGGATCCCTGGGGTGTTTCATTCCAAGGCTGATAAGAGTCTGAAACATCACTCTTACCTAGTTTCTACTTGGAGAGTTGACTCTTTCTTGCACCATTGTTTTAGAAAGGTCGTTTTCATATTGACCTAAACCCTATCTCCCTATTGCTTTGTTCCTTGCTCCTCATCTAAAAGCCCTGGGGTCCCTTCTAACCTAACAGTAGCAGACATGCAGAGGCTTCCTTTTCTTCTCTCCACCTTTCAACTTTCTTTTCTTCTAGGCACACCAGTCTTCACAACTCTTCCATGTAAGATGTGCTTTAATCTTTCTTCCCTCTCCTGTCCTCTCTTGTTTAGACCCACTACAGTTTGCCTAGAGAAATGTTTTTCCTAGAATAGAATATGACACTCCAAGTGAGATGAACACATCTCATATTCTAAAAACAAGATACTCAAAAACTAGGCAGTCTAAATATGACTGTTTAAAAATGTTAAAATCAGTAGGATCTCACTAATTGTTACACAACTTTAGAATTTTCCTCAAGATCATAGGATACAATACCAAATAAGTAAAAATGATAAACTGCAAATGTACATAGACACATGTAGATCTATATGTGCACGCATGGTGGTCCACTTGACAGAGGGTCCTTATAAACTGCATTAGGTCCAGAAGCTTCCAAAATGCCTTGAGTTCAATTTATGAGGTAGACTTTCTTTGGAGGTCTACAAGGCGTAAATAACTATTGATTAGCTTTTTAGAGACAGGTTTTTAGTAGAACCATGAGCAAGGGCATTACAGAAATGCCCCCAATGGGGTCATTTTGAGCTGACCTGGGACTACATAAAAATGGGAGTATTGAATGCTTAATGTCACATTTTATTGCTTGGTTCAGCTAATTTGTCTTGTGGGAAGCAAATGTTTTTGAAAGCATTCCAGAGCCTTTGTAGTGTTAAAGCTCATTACCTTGGATTTCATATGAGCCAAAAAATATACAACCAGCTAAGTGCTCTGAACCTCAGCAAAATTTCATGACTAGACATGGAAGCAAAGCTGTGTATACCATGTCATGCAAAAATGAGATGAATTTAGCAATTTGTATTTTTAGTAATAAAAGGAAGCATAATCAGTTTCAGAAACATTCCTTTGTTATTATTTTTAATGCTGAGGAATAAGTTAATGAACAGATTTAACACAGATAGAGCATATCTTCTTTAGGGAAATTACAACATTTTTTCTGTTAATACTGAACCCTCAATCCTGGTGTTTTCAGTGAGTTTGAAAAAAGACTGTACATATTTTAGCTAGGTAAAGTACTTTTTATATGCCAGAAAATATTTTTCAGTCATCTACAATAGACCCAGCCTTCGGTCAGGTTCTTTCCTGTAAATAATTAAATTATTACTCTTAAGGAATTGTTTATTCCATTTTACAGATAAGGAATATCACTATTCTCCTAAAGAAAAAATAATCAGGGATAAACAAAAGCCAGAAGAATGTTGTGCCTCCATATGGCCCTAAAGATGCTAACAATCTGATCCTAATCTACGTTGACAGACCTTGTTTTCCACTCATATCCTTAAGGTCTTCTAATACTAACTTATTGTGCTTGGTAGCGGTCATCAGTTTGTGTATTCAAAATTTCACGAGTTTGTTCTATCTGAAATATTCTCTTTTATTGACCCTGTGTTGAAATGATCCATCTTTCAACCATCTGAATGATTCTTTTTACAGGAAATACTCTTAGCCTTTACCTGACTTGAGAAGGGTCTCTATGTCCTCTTAACTCTTTGTCCATAAATGCTGAGAGAATAGTAAAACATTTTACTACTAATGGGGTGAAAAAATCAAAATATGAAATAAAAGCTTTAAAATGCTCTTTTTATTCTGTGAATAAACTGTGTATTATGACTTTTTACCAAGTGATATAAACCGGTATGCAAATTATTCATAGAATCATCCTTGTAATTTCTAATTCATTATTGACATTTCAACACTGTACTTGTGACCATTATTTTGATACAGTGTCACTAGCTAAATAATAACCCTGTTTGTAACTATATTTTGATGAGGCGATGAGCACATATTTTCAAAAACTTTTCATTAGAGAGCCTTTAGGTGATTGAGCTCAATAAATAGTTTTTTTTTTTAACCAACAGTTCTATTGTTCATGGTACCAAATCCTTTATCATCTTCAGCTGAACATATGTAACTACATGCATTACTTTTTAACCCATATTTTTATCTGAGATATTAATATAATAACTATATTATGATATAGGTCATCAAAAGCTTTTTTGGAATGTTATCTTTATAAACTTGATTTATAAACTTGATATTTTGCTCACCTTTATAGAGATTTGCAAACTTTCTTGGTTAAATTGCAGGATACACATAAATTAATTATATTTTTACCTTATGTCATCAAACTGTGGTGACATATTTGTATATCAAACATTTTCATAGCTATTTCCTTTGGAATATGATTATTTTTTCAAATATTTTATCATCTTTGTTTCTATAATATCTTGCTTCTCTTTCATGGTTATTTTGTCAGTTTCTCTAAATGGTGGCTAAAAGATGATATCCGGTAAAGTTAAGGCAAATATTGAATTTAGTATTCCATTTATTAAATTGCCATTTTCAAATTGTGCAATTTATCTAATTTCAGCATTTTTGAGTGCTTATTTAAGGTGCGATTTAATTTCCAAAGGCTTTTGTAGCTTTAGCACTATAGACTATTTTTGAGATTCAAATATTCTTTCAATAGTCATGATTTTGATTCTATCAGTATCTGTATGTCTCTCCTCTCTAATGTTCATTTGATGCATAATCAATATAATTTATTAATTTTTATTTTATTGTATTATATCTTCCTCCAGAGCAATTACTTAGATGTATCAAACAAAGACATCCAGAAATATTTCTCAAACTACGGGTGACTCTTCTACCTTTCTCCACAGCCATAGCAATTCCTATACAGCCTAACTTTTTTTATGTGTGTGACAGGGTCTGGCTCTGTCACCCAGGCTGGAGAGCAGTGGCATCATCATAGCTCACTACAATCTGGAGCTCAAGTGATCCTTCTGCCTCAGCCTCTCAAGTAACAGGGACTAATGACACATGTTGCCATGCCTGGCTAATTTTTTTATTTTTACTTTTTGGCAGAGGCAGGGGTGTCTCTACATTTCCCAAGCTGGTCTCAAACTCCTGAGCTCAAATGATCCTCCTATCTCAGCTTTCTGAACTGCTGGGATTACAGACATGAGCCACCACACCCTGCCAAGCATAGCCTTTTAATCTTTAGTTTCTTCATCAATGAATGAAGGGAAATATCTTTTCATATGTTTGTTACAAGAAATGAAATTGTATGTAAATGCAATTATATGTAAAAGCCTGACATACATTAAGCTGTCCATAAATTATGCTGTAATTATTATCATATGTAATGTGCAATTATTGTTTCTATATGTCCAGCACTTTTGCTCCCTTGTTTTGATAGTAGAAAACTTTTCTTTGGGATCTGCTCCTCCCTCATCGAAACCATGAGTTTTTGCATGCTTCCAGTTCCATTACCCCATTTTCAAGAGGCCATGTGAGCATAGGACTCAGATCCAGATAATAATAATGTTCCACAACTCTAGTGAGAGTGATTGATGTGGGAACAGGAATATGATCCATGCCATAGCAATCAGTGTTTTCTCTAGGACCCTCTTAAGTAGATCAAGTAGAAAAAATTCCTTTTCTTTCTAAGAGGATCATCACGGATTTCATGATTACAGACCTAGGGTAACCATGTCCTCTGCATTATAGGGACACAGGAGAGAATTAAGCTGACACCAGGAGACACAGCTGACACTGGGGAGAAGTGGTGAAGACAGCATCCTGGAAGAGGTGAGACTACTGTCTCTGAAGTTACTACAACTCTTCCATTAATTTTGTGAGCTTCCATCGTTTCCTACATGAACATTTATTAAAGTAAGTTGAGTCCAGCTTTTGTCATTTCTACCCAAGTGCTTTTCTGATAAGTATGTCAGCTTGTGTAATGATGAGCAACACTATAAGAAAAAAGCAGCAGGGCAGATGCATTTCAAGTAACCATGGTGGTGTTAGCAAGCTTTTAGACGTGGAAATCTCTCTACAACATAAGGAATAGCTACAGAGCCAAGGCTTCCAAGAGAAAAACAGTGTCACCAACAATGTCTTTAAGCTGTTTTAATCCTTTAAAATCTTCATGAATTGTTGCAATATTTGTGTGCTCTCCTACATTGTTTCCTAGCACTCTTCTAAAATGTTTCTTTATAAATTTAAATCATTCTAAAGAATGTAACTGCCAGCATATGATAATAAAATGTGAACATTAGAAGAATCCAATTATTCAGTGAATTTTATCCATTGGAACCTTAAAACTCACAATTTGACATCCACTAAAAGCCTTAAAAATATACTTGGTATATACATTTATTAAACATTTAAGGCCAGGCACCATGGCTCAAACCTATAACCCCAGCACTTTGGGAGGCCGAGGCTAGTGAATCACGAGGTCAGGAGTTCGAGACCAGCCTGGCCAATGTGGTGAAACCCCATCTCTACTAAAAATACAAAAATTAACTGGGCATGGTGGTGCACACCTGTAGTCCCAGCTACTTGGGAGGCTGAGGCAAGAGAATCTCCTCAACTCAGGAGGTGGAGGTTGCAGTGAGCCAAGATCGCACCACTGCACTCCAGCCTGGGCGACAGAGCAAGACTCCATTCAAAAAATAAAAAATAAAAGAAATAAACAATTGAAACATGTTCATAAATCCTTTCTCTCTTTCAAAACTCTTTCTTTTCTATATCCACCAAAACATTTTGTCCCGATATATTGAACTTTTATGCTTAAAGGCTGTGACTGATCACCCTATCCTACCACTCTTAAACAGAAGAATATCTAAAAATTGAGATATGATTTTTAGTTATTTCTAGTATTTTTCTGTATTTTAAGTGTTTTTCTTCTGGTTTGAGTTATTTTTTAGGTTAGTCATATGCAATCAATAAAAATAAATATTTTTGATACGTACTTATACAGTATATGAAAAATAAAATTTTGTTGAAAATGTAAAAAGAAGAAAAGGAATGAAAACAGTGAACTTAAAAAAATGGAAAAGATTAAACATAGATGTAGATTTTGGCTCATTTGACAAAAATCCCCTACGTGCTCCCATCAAGGCACTCTGAGGAAGGTCATGTAAAACAAATCCCTGGGGTCTTGGAGAGAGTGCCTGGCAGTAAGAAGATAGTGGGACATGGCTGCAGAATTAGGATTTTTTGTATATATTTTAAATGTTTTATTTTTATGGGTTTGGGGTGCAAGTGCAATTGTGTTCATGGATATATTGCATAATGGTGAAGTCTGGGCTTTTAGTGTACCCATGATCTGAACACCGTACATTGTATCCAATAGGTAACATTTCATCTCTCACCTACTTCTTGCCCTCCCATCTTTGGAGTCTCCAGTGTCTATTATTCCACTCTGTGTGTCCATGTGTACCCATTGTTTAGCTCCCACTTAGAAATGAGAGCATGTGCTTTTTGACTTTCTGTTTCTGAGTCATTTCACTGAGGATAATGGCCTCCAGTTCCACCCATATTGCTGCAAAAACATGATTACATTCTTTTTTATGGCTAAGTAGTATTCCATACCTATGGTTTTTATCCAAACATTCGTTGATGGACACTTAGGCTGATTCCATGACTTTGCTATTGTGAATACTGCTGCAATAACCATACAAGTGTCTTTTTGATAGAATGATTCCTGTTGTATTTTGGCACCAATCAGAATGGCTAGTTTAAAAAGGAAAAAAAAAATGTATATATATATATACACACACACATATATATGTGTGTGTATATAGAAAATACACACACCTATGTGCATATATATGTGTGTGTATATAGAAAAATACTAGAAATAACTAAAAATCATATCTCAATTTTTGTATATAATATATATTATGAAATATATATTTTATACTTCTGTTTAAGAGTAGTAGGATAGGGTGATCAGTCACAGCCTTTAAGCATAAAAGTTCAATATATTGGGACAAAATGTGTATATATATGTGTGTATATATACACATACGTATATGTGTGTGCATATATGTGTATATATACACACGCGTGTGCGTATATGTGTGTATACACACATGTGTGTGAGTATATATATATACACGTATGTGTGGTATATATACACATATGTATGTATATACATATATATGTGTATATATATCATGGCTGGGCATGGTGGCTCATGCCTGTAATAACAGCACTTTGGGAGGCTGAGGCAGGTGGATCACTTGAGATCAGGAGTTCAAGACCAGCCTGGCCAACATGGTGAAACCCTGTGTCTACTAAAAATACAAAAATTATCCTGGCACGGTGGTGGATCCCTGTAATCCCAGCTATTCAGGAGGATGAAGTCAGAGACTCGCTTGAACCCGGAAGGCAGAGATTGCAGTGAGCCAAGATCACTCCACTGCACTCCAGCCTGGGCAACAGAGTAAAACTCCATCTCAAAAAAAAATTATAATTTTAATTTGCATTCCTCTGATGATTTGTGATGTTGAGCATTCCTTCATGTTTGTTGGTCACTTTTGTGTCTTCCTTTGAAAAATGTCTGTTCATGTCCTTTGGCCACTTTTTAATGGGGTTACCTATTTTTCTCTTGCTGAGTTCTTTGAGTTCCTAGTAGATCCTTGGTATTAGCCTTTTGTGAGATGCATTGTTTGCAAATATTTTCTCCCATTCTATAGGTTATCGATTTACTCTTAATTATTTCTTTTGCTGTGCAGAAGCTTTTTAGTTTAAGTCTCATTTGTCTGTTTTTGTTTTTGTTGTGTTTCCTTTTGAGGTTTTAGTCATAAAATCTTTGCCCAGACTAATTAACTACAGGAACTACAGGATGTTAGAGTGACATAAGACTATAGAAACCATCTTTCACCTAATTCCTTCATCTTGCTGATCTTGGACATTAAGTGGAGTGAATTCCACACATGGAACTCACACAGAGTCACTAACACATGGTTAGTGACAGAGCTGAGCTGATTACCTAAGTATCCTGGTGCCTGCCGCTCTCCCCCACCACATACCACACTGCCCAAAAATGCTTGCATTAAGATGGAGCTTTGCTCTGCAGTGAAGCTGATTCTGTGCCTGGGCTTAGTTTCTGGCCATATAGGGGCTTGTCTGTCCCTCAAAGTGGAATAAGAGGGTAGATTTAGTGAAACCATCATGTTTGAGACCCCAGAGTCTAGTAGTAGTTAAAACTTCAGCTGCCCAGGCTTGTGGAAGCATCCTGCATGGAAGCCTGGGCTTCATGCAGTGCAGTGGATGCCATTTCAGACCAAGGGAGTGGTGTAAAGAGGCAACACTTCTTCCATATTGAGTTTCTATCTAACCGTGGCCTTTGTTCGTTCAACACACTTACATTGAACCTTCTCCATGTGCCAGGCCCGATGCTAACCCTGGGTATACAATGCATAGAAATGATTGCTGCCCTCAAGAAGCTCATAGTATGGTGACAAAAGGGTAAGTGCCACGTAAAATCAGAAGTCCCTTCATGCTACAGAAACAGAGCCGAGTGCACTTCTCAATTCTGGGGCTATAGACACCTTCATGGTCATTGTTGCTAGAGAAATAAGCATAGAGCATCAATTTCTACAAGTGCTGAAAATGGCCACCAGCAATTTTATTACATTTCTATCTAAATAAAAGACTGAGGTATAGGAGACCTGAGTAGCAGGCTTCTACTGTGTGCCAGTGCCCCTCTCTTCCTCTCTTAGCACTTGACCTTTATCCTAGGAAAAGCACTTACCACACTGAGCTGCAATTCCGAGGTCACCTATCTATTTCTTCTTGACTACAAACCAATGAGAGCATGGATCTCATATTTGTTCTGCTTATCTCCTGAACAAAACAGGGCTCTGCATAAAAAATAAAGACTCTGGGAATGTCTGTGAAATGGTGTCCTCTTTATTCTTAGACCAGTCCCTTCAGTGTACTTATCAGTAAAATGAGAGGGTTGAATCCTGCAGTGTCTAAGTCTTCCCTGATGTTCAGTACTAGTTTAATGAGATATCAGAGGTTAGCACAGACACCTGTGCGTGTGTGCATGTGTACCCATGTTTGTTTCAGGGTGGGCTCAACTAACTGGCAGGCACTTATGGAAGTGCAAGTGTGGGGAGGGGAGTACTTCTAATGCTTGCACAAGAAAGTGCCGCGGAGTAGAAAAACATGTGAAAAGGGACAATCTTGAACTCCCATAGGAGGGCAATATAACCAAGAAAAAAATCGCATCATCATGCATGAGGTCATTTGTCCAATCCCAGGCATTTTTATCCTTCGAATGACAGCGACTGCTGCAGATTTTTTAAGGAGAAAGATCTGAATTTGTGTACGGTATTTGCCATATATTTGGGAAAGTTTATTAATTCAGTTTTCTTACATACAAAATGGAGATAATAGTACCTGTTTCATAGAAAGGCAGAGAAGAATCAGTGAGAAAATATTAGTAAACCACCCATTACAGTGCCTGTCACACAGAATATACTAAAAAATATTATTAGTGTTATTTTTTTAACTGTGGAATTTTTTCTAGAGAGTAGCACTCTAGGCCAAGGTGTGCCTTTGGGAGCAGGACTCCAAAATTGTGAGCTTGCCTGGTTTTGTCACCTGACCTGGACTCTGAGCTACAGAAACCAGGTCTGTTGTATAGCCCACCTCAATGTGGAGAGAGAGCTGGTGTTCTTAGCCCAAACACAGAAGGAAGTCCATGTCACTCTGTGGTACTGCCCTGCTGGGCATTTGTTGTTGACTTACGTGTTCATGAGAGGGAACTCATCCTCAACTCTATGCTGAACCCTCCCTCCTTCTGAAAGCCATGCTTCACTCTCATCTGCCTCCTATATAGCAGCCTAGTTGTGTGTTTTGTTTATTTTGTGTCTTCTAAATGTTTAATCAATTATGAAACACCCTTCTGAGATTTATGACCTGACATCTTAAGCCAAGACTGACAGAGAGTCTTACTTACAAGATTGCCTGTGTGTGTATGTGAGCGTTTTATGCACATGTGTGTTTCTATCTATGTGTGAATGTATGTAAAAACTTTCTGATCTGCCTGGGATGGTGCCAGAGCTTTTGCCAGAGGCAGGCCAGAGGGTGATTCTGAAAACTTCTGTGTGCCGGGTCAGTGGGGCAGGAGGGAGGTCCTTGCACACAACTCCCATCTCTAGACTGAGTATCAGTTATGATACCCTCTGAAGAAGCAAACTGGGTGGAAAGTTCAATCACTTTCACACTCGCAGAAGCACCGATGCACCAAACACTCATTTAAATAAAATAAATGCATAAAGACTTAGAGCATATTATCATGTTTAGACTAAACCATTACAAGCATATAGGCCAGAAATTTAAAAAAGGTGTTATTCCTGAAAAATAAGATTGATTTTGGACTTCTTAAAACTTAATGTCATGAACCAGACATCCATAATTATATTATTTGTCTTATACAAATGAAAAAGAATAAATTAAAACTGGACATGTTGCAACGGGACTGTTGACATTATATACAAAGCCTGCTTATTGTCATAAGATACTCTTAACCTTCAAGCCAAAATCTTTCAAAACTATTAGTGTTAAATCTAGCAGCTGTTGTCAGAGTTCTCCTGTTCTCTGTTTTATGCATTGTGCTTTATTTGAAATGTTTGTTATATTTGTGTATATAACTTTCTGTGGGCTGTTCCTTGAAAGCTCCAAGGATTAAACATGAAGGTTGAGCCAGTTCAAAAGGAACAAAGTTAAGAAAATTAAAGAAAACTTGCTAAAATGAATGTTTAAACCATTAAAATATTTAGCAAGCTTTGCCTGGAGCTATTTCCTTTATGTAAAGCATGATGCATTTCTTTTCTTTCTCATTCTCTCTTTTCGAAAACAAATGAGGTTAAGAAAAACACACTTCTGCTCTGAAGGATTTTTTTTTAGCATTAGAAATTTAATATCTAAATATTTTATGCAAATAGATATGCTTGATTGTGGCAGAAATATCTCAAACATCCCAAGCATTTGGACCAGTGGTTTGTGACTGTATTAGTCAGATGAAGGAGATGCAGAGCTGAAGGGATTGTCCTCTTTGAACTTGGACCAGCCTATGACTTTACTAAGTCCTTAGGACTTAACTGTGTGGTAACAGAGAATATAGTTCTTCTGTACTTTTGAAAGGCAAAAGAGAGGATAAACTTTGCAGAATTCGATGTAGATATATTAGGCATTCTGATTTTATTTATTCAGTATGCTAAAGGAGAGTATTTGATTGATTATTTTTTTCGCACAAGAAAATACCCAATCTAGCTCTCTCCACTATTCCATGGCATTTAAAGTATTCTTCCTGTTCAGAAACGCCAGGCCTTTGATTTGTCCCAGCAGCCATCCACCCATCCATTCGGGGAAAGTGTGGTGTGATGGAAAAAGCACTAGCTTCAAGTCAAACCATTTTGTGTTCAAATGACATTTACTAGCTGCGTGACTTACGAAATTCAGTTAACCTCTTGAGCTTTGGTTTCTTCATCTGTAAGATATAATACCTACTTCATTGCGACATTTTTAAGAATTAAATGAGATAATGCACTTCAAATGTTTTGTTTAGTACCTGTCTCAATAAATGTTCAGAGAAAATATTCACCAAGAAATATTTGTCAAATACTTACTGGAACCAGTTACTTCCTTCATCCCCTCAGGTCTAGGAAACCTAAACTAGAATAGGAATCTTGAGAGTTGTCCTTTTGTAAGATCACCAACCACCTTTGCCTAGTACAGAAAGTACCATACTTTCTTGAAGGACAGTGTCCTTAAGTGTCTCAATAAGTTTTTCACAGTACTCATAGACCAAAAACATACTAACACATATTTCCCCTTAGTAAGTAGTTAGTTCCAAAAAAACTTGATAGGCATTTATGCCTTTGTAATCATTTGAAAAAAAAATAATATACTGAACATAACAAGGGAAAAAACATTTTTATTCCATTCTTTAAAAACTACAATTATGGCTGGGTGCGATGGCTCACGCCTGTAATCTTAGCACTTTGGGAAGCCAAAGCAGGTGGATCACCTGAGGTCAGGAGTTCAAGAAGAGCTTGGCCAACATGGCAAAAGCCCGTCTCTACTAAAAATACAAAAATTAGCCAGGCATGGTTGTGCATGCCTGTAATCGCAGCTTCTCGGGAGGCTGAGGCAGGAGAATCATTTGAACCCAGGGGGCAGAGGTTGCAATGATCTGAGATCACGCCACTTCACTCCAGCCTGGGCGAAAGCGAAATTCCATCTCAAAAACTAAAAAAAAAAATCTACAATTACTCACTAATGAGATGTGTACTCAGTGAACCCTGTGAAACCACAAAATTTGGAGTCAGCTTGAATGCTGACACTCTTGTTTCCTGTTTCACATTAATTTATATGCAGTGTGTGCTTTTTATCCACAACCACCAAAACAATTTTTGGTTATTTGCAAAAATATAGCATCACTGAAAGGGATGTGATACAATCTAATGTTAAAACTGTGCCCTACCTTGAGTCAGTAGTTCACATGATGCAATACAGATGCCAGTGTCCCTGGCTGTGTTCCCCTGGAAATTGATTTTTTCAGTTAAGAAAATTTAAAAGCCTGTGGCTTCCCTATAAATATGCTGTGGCATCCTAGGGAACCTGGGCACAAAGATTGGAAACCTGATGTATTAGTCCATTTTCATGTTGCCAATAAAGACATACCTGAGACTGGGCAATTTAGAAAGGAAAGAGGTTTAACTGGACTGACAGTTCCACGTGGCTGGGGAATCCTCCCAATCATGGCAGAAGGCAAGGAGGAGCAAGTCATGTTTTACATGGATGGCAGCAGGCAGAAAGAGAGCTTGTGCAGGGAGACATCCACTTTTCAAAACCATCAGATCACGTGATACTTATTCGCGATCATGAGAACAGCATGGGAAATACCTGCCCCCATGATTCAATTACCTCCCACTGGGTCCCTCTCACAACATGAGGGAATTCAAGATGAGATTTGGGTGGGGACACAGCTAAACTATATCACCTATAATCCTAGAGTGCCCGTAGAACATTTTTGTGTTGCTTCTGCAAATAAATTTTCTTACTTCTAGCCCCAATTTTGAATTCTCAAAAGGGACTGAGGTGCCTGTAGAAATATTGAAATAGTAAAGACTAGAACCTCTGTGCACTCACATCTATCTAGCCACTCAAGGTACAAAGGCCAGCCTCAGCTATGTGTATCACGGATCCTCTGACCAGGCTCCAAAGACAGAGGTCAAAGGGAGCAGGAGTTAAAGAAATACAGCCATCCACCAGCCTGCCTGACTGTTTGCTTAAGTAATAGCCAACTGGCTTTTTTACATAAAGACCAGCCATTCTACCTTCCTTTTCAGAATTTTAATAATATCTACTGCCCAGTAGCTTGTAGAGTCATAGAGTGCCACTCACAAAGTCACCAACCAAGTTTCTCCTGCTCAGAGCCTGGCATTATATTTAACTGGCTGTGTCTAAGTTTCCTGTTTCTAAACTTCCCTGGGCACATTGTCAAGACTGTACTTTCCCATGCAGCACTCTACCCTGCCCTTCACAGGCCCACCCCTTATACTGTGGCTCCAGTAATATTTCAATTAGCAACTTTCAGAGGTGCCAAAGACGCAAGCCCTAGGCTTTAGTCTGTTTATTCTTACACAAATGAATGTACATTTTTGTGCTTCAATTTAGAAACTACCAGAAGCCTGGAACTGTGCTATATTCTGTGGATGCTAAAGGGAAAGACTGAAATGCTCTCTTGCCCTTGGAGGAAAAATACTTAGCAGTTTCTGTTTTGCCGCTTATTGAGCTACAGTCTTACTTTCCTTGACAAATGCAAATCTCATGCTTTATCTTAAGGCTGTCATAGAGTGAGAGAGAGAGAGAGGAGGTAAAGAGGCTTTCTGGGGATGCTAGCTTCTCCTTCAGCTCTCAACTGGGAACCACACACAATGAACGATGGAAGACTGAGGACAAGGACCCACACTCATCTCTGTTTATGTAGATCCCCTGAGAATTTGCCAAGAAGAAAAAGGCTCCTGGCTTCTTAAAGCTTTGACTTGGCCTCTTAATGGGAAGACCAGTCCATAACGCCTTGCCCTGCTGTTGAATATCTGGAAAGACCTCCCTCCACTCCAATGTGCCAGAATAATTCTCCTCTAGCCCTCAAGTTAAAAGTGTCTGTTTCATACTTATTTAAAGAATGCGTCTTAAATTTATGTTACTTATTAAAAGTAACATAAATTATCAAATTTTCAAAAAGAAAACAATGTTACCCATAATCTTGTCAAGATAGAATATTTCCTTTCATTCTTTCTTTTAAAGTAAATTAGAAAAAAGAAAAAGTTGAACTCTCTGTATATGACTCTCTCCCCTGCCATTTAGATCCTGGCATTTCTAGGGCTTTCAGGTTCAAGGGTAACATGACCCAACTCTAACCTTACTCACACCCCTTACCTGTCCACTGAGCCATGTCCACTCATACACATAGGAAGTTCCTGTCTAACCCTGTGGAAAGAGTTGCACCCTCCAAATGGTTTCAGAAAGGGAAAGCCTAAAAAAAAGGTGTGGAGAAGAGTAGAAAAAAGTCTGGTGTAGTCAAAAAGCAGGAGTCATCACAGTAGAGGGACAGCATTTATGCTCTCTGGATCTTTTCTTCCTGAACCAAGTTGGAAATGCAGGTGAAGGCACAAAAGATCATTTGCACTATTCATGCCAGTATGCTCAATCTGGTTTCAGAAGCCTAGCAAGAATAGATCCCAGATTATCTTTCTCAGTACATTTTTGTAGGCCTTGTAATAAATAAAAATTCTTTCTAGATTTTGGCAATAGGCTGAGATTCAATCAGATCTAGTTTTTGAAGCTGAAGTGGGGGTGAAAGTGATTGGGGACAGCACATGAGATTCATAGCGATGAGTCAATACAAATTAAACAGGATTCAAAGGCCATTAATTTTATATACTTCTTTAGTAAGAGTTAAGCTATTTAAAACTAGATGATGGGATATATTGCAAGCAATTTGATTCATTTATTAGAAGTATAAGGATCTGAAAATTGCTGCAGATGGCACCTAAAGCCTATGGATGAGAGAAAATAAGAGTATGTGGCCTATAGGAAGGATTCAGACCACCCTTCAACTCTTCATTCATCACCTATTTGACAGCATTCCTACACAGGTATTGAAAATAAAGAAACAAATTTGAATCCCTTGTGATTTGTATACATGATGTGATTTATGTATTTCAACATTTCCCCATCCATCTCACCTTGCTATTCTCTGTATAGGTAGTTAGGATGTCCTCCTTTTACAGATGAAAATTTATTATGAAAGCACTGATGAGACTAAGTAGATACTAATGTGATCATTTATTAGTTCATTGATTCTAGATCATTAATTTATATCCTTACTCATTTAGTTTTTGGTAAACACTATTTCAGAACCTGTGCTAGGTTTTGAAGATGAATGTAAGCAGTGAAGATGAATGTAAGAATACCAGTAAATGTTTCACAATTGTTTTTTGGGAGGTGAGAGGTGAGGCTGATTGGTAGTATTTGCCAATTTCTGTACTATAAATTTCACTATGGTTGATTTTGAACTACTAATATGCCGTCAATGAAGTTAGAGGTAGGATAGATGCATACAATTGGCCCTTGCAAGTGGTATATCTTGCCCCAGTACACCACTGGACAACAAGGTTTAGAAAAGAGCTCCTGTGTTTGAGTTGCACATGGTGTTAAGCCAAGAACAGAATTGTAAATAAGTATTTACAATATATAATTAGATAAATGCTGTAATAAATGCGGAAGGGACCACATTTATCCAGAGAGCTGTGGAAGTACAATTTTTCTATAACAGCTATCAGATAGGCTTCACAGAGTAGGTGATGTCTGAATTGAACCTTAAAGAATAAGTATTAATTCTTCAGTCAGTCAATGTGAGGCAAAGACTTCTCAGACTGCGGAAAGGCATGGGCAAGGACACAAAAGTGCATGAGCATGGTATGTCAAGAGAGCTGTGAGCATGATATATCAAGAGAACTGTGAGTAGTTTGTTAAGACATAAGGTGAGTGTGTCCTGAAAAAGTCTCAGGAAAAGAGACGTAAGATCATAAAGAAATTTTAAATTGTGTAAAGGAGTCTAGACTTGTTTTACTATAAGGGAACATAAAAAGCTCAGTTTTTTTTTAAAATCACTTTACTTGTAGTAATTAGACAGTCAGAAGGATACCACAGGAACCCAACTGAGAACAAGAAAGGCTAGGAATAAGGAGGAAAGAAGGATGTGACAATCAAAGTGTAGAATCAACTGGATAGACTGAGCTAATAGAGACTTGAATGTAGTCCTCTACCTTCTCCATTCCCCACTGATTTTTTATCTCCCTCACTGTACTGCACTCCACATACAGTGGCAGTTTCTGGGGTGACTCTGGCCAGCAAGTCAACCCTTCCTGTCCCCAGTTTCCCCCAGGTTGTGGATTGTGGAGGCAGTCTTCCCTTTCGGCAGGCTCTATCTCTGTTACTGAGTGCTGCAAAATTGGTTTACTCCCTCCTTTGAAAGGCCATGCAGGCCCAGGGCCACACTGCGGAGAACATGTGGTTGCTATTTCATTTATGCTTTATCATTTTTCATTCTGACATTAAAGCTCCTCTGCAGCAGGGTGAGAGCGCTGTGCATTGTAAGGAGTAATGTGAACCGAGGGCTCCTGCTTCATGCCAGAGGAAACGTGATTCAGAAACAATTTGAGGGCAACTGCAAGGTGATGTGGCCCAGAGAACCAGAAGCTATTGAAACTTTAAACATCATTTCTGGACAGTATAATATGTTCTGCGGGGCAGCTTGGAAAAACAGGAAAACCCTCCTTGGCCAATCCTTGGAGAATTAGAAATCTTTAAATATCATATGGAGCAAATATATCTTAAAGAGCCCCTAGCCCTTATAGTCAAACACCCAAATGTTGAGCTGGAGGCATCTTCATCCCATGGCCCCAAGAGAAAGCTGGGGCCATGGAAGGGGATGGGCCTCACCTCAAGTCTTCCATACCCGCATGGCCAACGTGGGTCTTCTGACTTTTCCTACCCTATAGCAGACTTTCTCTTCAATAATTAGTTTGTGCCAATCTGTCCTTCTAACCTAGAACCATTGAAAGATCCTTTGTAAACAGAAAGACAGCTGTCTTATTTATCCTTGCACAGTGAATTCATTTTGTGTTTGCATGCATCTCTCCCACTGGTGATATATTAGTTGATGGTGCCTAAGCATAGTGACTGTAAGAGAGCTAATGCTCAATAAATATTGCTGGAAGAGTCAAAGAAAAGGGACAAAAAGAACAGCAGAGGAGGAAAAGAGTATGAGAAAACCACGAGGGAATGAAGATTCTTAGCTTGGGATTATTACATAAGGAAAAGAAGAGCTATTATGTATTCTGTAAACAGATGTAGTTAGAGATAAACATAACAGCAATTTGTATTTATTGAATGGTACTTTTAAAATCTCAAATTCTGTCATCAGTTTATCAGTGAAAAATTACATTTTAGCTGTGCACCATTAATAATTCATATCAAATACCAAAGGTATTGAAAATTCAGTGTTCAAATACCCATGACTGTAACCAAATGTAATTGCTACTGTTTTGTGGGACTCAGAAGACCGCTCCCTTCTTTTCTCTGCTTTTCAATCATAATAACCAATCCCTCTGACCTCGGTGAGTAGGTGGGAATACAACGTGACTCACTGTGATAGGTGAAATGAATTTTTATAAAGAATGCCTCATCTCCGATTTCTTAAAAATAACAGTTTCAGATTTACATAGAATGTGTACCGATAGCACAGCAAGTTCCCACAGAGCCATTCCCATTTTTCCCAATTATTAACATTTTACATTAGTATGGTACATTGATTAAAATCAATGAACAACATTGACACATTATTATTAGCTAATGTCCATACTAAATTCAGATGTTCTTAGCTTTTGCGTAATGTGAAATCCCATCCAGGATGTCACATTCCATTCTGTGGTCCAGACTCCTTAGGCTCCTCTTGGCTGTGACAGTTCTCTCTCATTCCAACAGAAGTAAATAAAAAACATGTTTGCTGTGCTTAAAAGTAGCAAATAAGCTTTCCTGCCCAACATGGACCTGTGCTTATAAACACATTTTTCACAAGTATAAAGTTGTAAGTGTTTACCCCATTACAGGCAAGCATATGGTTCTTTCACTCAAAAGAGATAAATACGTGCTGAACCTCAAAATGATAAATGTATTTTAGAAAATACCAAAAGTTATGAATGTGCTGCTAAGGAGTAGTAAACAATGCATGTAGGCAATGCTGTACCAGTTAATGTACCTTTGATTGTGGCAAATCAGAAGATGAGGTTTGCAACTGCCAATCAGCGGAATGTAACGCACCCCAAGAGCTCCCAGGATCCTAATTAGTATGTATGCCCAGTCTCTGCCAGGGTGAAGAGAGCAGTAACCCCCTGCATTGCTCCGGAGCTGCTTGTGGCTTTGCATACACTGAATGTGATGGGAAACACTGGCGGAGCACAGAAGGAGGCCAAAGCAATGAGAGTCCAGCCAATTCCTGAGCAAATGGCATATGGCTTCCTCCCTCATTGTTTCTTTCTTGCTCACAGTTGCTGCCTAGCTTGTTAAAGGAAATACTTAAGTGAAAGCTGTTTAAGCTAACTGGAGTTTTTATGCAGTTTCTTTTAGTGTTGTCTACTCTTCAGTATCCTGTACTTAAGTTCTGGTTTTACCATTAAAGGGTAGCTCCTCAGAATGAAACACTCATTCTGAGCCCATTGGAGTATTTCTTAGGGACTTTTTCTACCAAGTAACCAGAGCTAGCAAGGAAGGCCCTTGTCATGCATTGCCTTCAATCTGTGAAGATATAAGCCTAGAAACACCAGAATGGACAAAGGAGATTTCGAATAGAAGTGAATGGAGTTGATACACAGAGAGAAATAGACAAGAGAAGAGGAAATAAATAGTACTGGTATCAGCATCCAATATTTAGCATACCTGGATCCCATTGCTCCTGAGGTCAGCCCAGGCATTGCTCTTTCTGAAATTATGTCCCATTCCCCAGTGTTGTTGCTTCTTTAAAACTTTCTGTTAGGTCTCTTTTACTTGACTGATATGTTTAGTAAAAATACAAAGTACTTAAGCATTTGGTTTTACATTATTCTTTCTAATAACACTCAGAGTCTTTTTTTTTTCCTTCTAGTGCTTACCACAACTTATAATGGTGTATTAATTAAATAGCATTTTCCCATTAGACAGTGTATAACATGAAAGAGGGGACCATGCCTGTGTGGCTCACCACTAAATACAAAACACTTGGCATGATGCTTAGAACAGAGTAGGCATTTAGTAAATGCTGATGGATGAGTAAATGAGTGAATGCATGAACTATACTAATACCTCAGTCAGTATCAAAAGCGATAATGGACTTTCAAGAATCTCTATAAAAAACTAAATCAAAGAAGGATGTTTAAGTTGTTCTCAATACCCAAGAATTTAGGTGGCTGGTGATTATGAAAAAGTAATTCAATTCCAATATTTCCCTTATTTCATTTGGTCATTGTGTCAGATACTCTGTAGGGTTCTTAAGTTGTTGATATCTCCATTGTATTTTATGCCTTGTTTTTGAAAATCAAATCTCTTTGACTTGAATCTGGCCATTGTAGCCAATTAACATGAAGATGCCTATGTTAAATTAAATAAGCAGGAATTAAATAATTGGCCTGGGGATATTTCCCTACTTTAAATTCTTAGGTAAGAAACTGCGACCAGCCTGGCCAACATGGTAAAACCCATCTCTACTAAAAATACAAAAATTAGTCAGGCATGGGGTGGGCACCTGTAATTGCAGCTACTCGGGAGATTGAGGCAGGAGAATCGCTTAAACCTGGGAGGCAGAGGTTGCAGTGAGCAACCAACTCACTGAGATCACGCCACTGCACTCCAGCCTGGGCAACAGGGTGAAACTCCGTCTCAAAAAAGGAAAAAGAAGGCCAGGCTCGGTGGCTCATGCCTGTAATTCCAGCACTTTGGGGCCGAGGTGGGCAGATCACAAGGTCAGGAATTCGAGAACAGCCTGACTAACACAGTGAAACTCTGTCTCTACTAAAAATACAAAAATTAGCCAGGCGTGGTGGCGTGTGCATGTAATCCCAGCTACTCAGGAGGCTGAGGCAGGACAATCGCTTGAACCTGGGAGGCGGAGGTGGCAGTGAGCCGAGATCGTACCACTGCACTCTAGCCTGGGCGATAGAGTGAGACTCCATCTCAAAAAAAAAAAAACAAAAAAAAACCCTGCAACCTTTTTATATGTAAAAAAATTGAAAGCCAACTAAAAGTCTATGTTTTGTAACAGCCAGGTCTCAGCCACTCATAAGGGTGTCAGCCAATCACATGAGGCCAGCTCATCAGATCATGTCCAAATGAGGCAATGCCTAGCTGTAAATAATCAAGCTATTTCTGCATTTTACCTCCATTGTTGTGTGTAAACATTCATTGCCCACATTGCAGAGTAGAGCTCCCTGAACATCTGGTTCTGGGTGCTGCCCAATTCATGAATCATTCTTTGCTCAAACTCTGTTCAATTTGTCTAAAGTTAACACCTGCAATTTGGATATAAGGTGTGAATGGTAGGATTCTTTTTATCTCACAGGGTACTTGGGTAGCCAAATGAAAAATCAGATTGTTCCCAGAATAGTGCTTTATATAAATGCATTATACAAGTGTGAGCGAATATGACTTTTATGGGAAAACCACCACTACCTCTAAGAGCTAAACCAGTAAAATTAAATCAGAGTGGATGAGATATTTCTGCAGAAGTCCTTTTAGGGGACTAGGAGACAGAGTATCTTCTGAACCATAGCAGTAGGTATAGAAATCTAATTGAAGGATGTAGTCTAGGCATAGAAAGAAAAACTAGACATAAACGTTGCACCAGCCTAAGAAATTTTGTGTATTTGTTTGAAGTAAACAAAATACTAAAAACTGGGTGGCTGAAACAACAGAAATTTATTTTATCACAGTTCTGGTAGCTAGAAGTCTAAGATCAAGGTATCAGCAGTGTTGATTCCTTCCAAGAGCTGTGAAAGAGAATATGTTCCATGACTCTTTCCTGGCTTCTGGTGATTTTCTGGCAATTTTTGACATCCTTTGCTTATAGATGCATCACTTCAATCCCTGCCTTCATCTTCAAATGCCATATTAAATTAGGGCTCATCCTAATGACCACATCTTAATGTGATCATCAGCAAAAATCCTATTTCTCAGAGGGTGACCTCAGTAGGTCAGTAGGGTACTGGGTCTAGGACTTCAGTATAGGGATTTGGGGGACACGATTTCACCAATAAAATATGCACCCACAGAAGAAAGATGCTTCACTTCAGATTTTTAAAGGAAAACAAAAAATTGTCATACTTATGACTCCCTCGTGGTCCAGGGGAAAGGGTGCTCAAATGTACTGGAACTTAGCATTGATAGGTCTGTTTCTATAGTAAAGACTCATCTTTTTCTGCGCTCAGCTCTGGCTACATTCTTTCAAAGCAAAATTCTAAAAATGATTTTGCTGTTTCCAACCTGGGAGAGTATGTGCTTACCTGATAGCATAAGCATTCTTACACATTCAGAAATTTTAATTCTCAATGTAAATCAATGAGTCACTGTCTACCATATATGTTGATATATATGAAATTTATTTAAGGTAAATCCATCCCTCTGAGTTTAGTACCTCTAGGTGCTCTTGTTGAATCCATTTTCTGCACATGTCACATGCTACATGCAACCCTGATGAAATCTTGTCCTAATTAACACTAATTATAATGTGGTGCAACTTTTTATGCTATTTAAATAATAGCATTTATTTAATAACTAGCCATGAGAATAATTCAGTCCCAACAATTGCTGACTGTTGACAGTGTAAGGATAATCATGACCTCCATTCATTCATTTGCTGACAGGCCTTCAGAAGCTTGAGGACATGAATGGCAAGTGTGTATCAAGCATGGGCCAATTTGTTTAAGTTGGACGTTGCCTTGAGGGAAGGGCAGGAACAGTGTTTTCTCAGCAAAGTTTTTCACTTGCCTTACTGAGATGACGAAAGATACGTAGAAAACAGGAACCAGGAGGCTTTGTGGAAGCTAAGTTGATGAGATCACTGAACTAACCCTCGGTGTTACTTAGAATGGTCATCACTTTTCTTTAACACTGCTAAAGATTCTCCCCAGTGAAATTAGGCAAGAAAATAAAAAAGCATCCAGATTGAAAAAGAAGTAAATCTGTCTAGTCCCAGGTGACATGATGGTCTATGTAGAGGACTTGATGAAATATTTATGCTATTTAAATAATATTTACTAATGTTTGATTATTATTGTTCATATTATCATTCCTAGCTCTCTCTTTCTGTCTCTCTCTCTCTCTCTATAAGAGAGAGAGAGATCTAGGAATGATTATATATATATATATATATATATATAGAGAGAGAGAGAGAGAGAGAGAGAGAGAGAGAGAGAGAGAGAGGCATATATATATAGGCATATTTATATATATATAGACATATTTCATGTCTGTATATGCAGAGACTATACAAATACTCAGTACATAATAGAGGCTGGGATTCTTTTTTCTAATAATAAATGTGCTATAAAACATGATTCATTAAGTTGCTGTTAACATAACTTTTATTAAAGCTGAAAAAAAACTCTAAATGTGCTACCTTTCTTATTTCTGATGCTTTTAAGTTATCTCCCGTCACTGACTTGGCTTTTAGTTTCCTTGATATAAATTCCTTCTCAGATTTTCAAAAAGCTCCCAAGACCTTATGTAGCCTGTTACCAGTTTAGGTAGGTGCCCTGAGAAGGAGCCTAGAGGAAGTTACCACATTTTATGTTCCCGTAGCACTCTGACCTTCCCCTTTATGAAGACTCATCACACTTCTGAATTATTTTAACAGACTCATTGAGGTGTAATTGACATAAATAAGCTAGACATGAATAGTATAATTTTATACATTATAACCTAGACATAAATAGTATAATCTGATACATTTTAACATGTGTGTATACTTATCGCCACTATTAAGACAACAAGAATATTCGAATATTCATCACCGACAAACATTTCACTGTACTCCTTTGTAATCCTTCTCTCCTTCCCCTCCCCACTCCTGCTCATGTCCCCAGGTAAACCCCAATATGCTTTCTGATATTGTTAGCTTGCATTTTTCCAGAATGTTATATATATGAAATAATACAGTATGTACTCTTTTTGGCCGGCCTATCTTTTTGCATTCCGTACAATTATTTTGAGGTTTATCCATGTTGTTGAGTGTATCAATAGTTCATTCCTTTTATGTGAGTAGTATTTCAAGGTATGGATATGCCACATTTGTTATCCATTTATTTGTTGATGGATATTTGAGTTGTTGCCTACTTTTGATTATTATAAAGTTTCTGTGAACATTTGTGTTGAAGTATTTCTATAGATATGTAATTTTATTTCTCTTCAGTAAATACATAAGACTATAATAACTTAATCATATAGCAGCTGCATCTTTAACTAAGAAGCTGCCAGACTATTTTGCAACATGGCTATTCTGTGTAACATTACCACCAGCATTGAATGAGAGTTCCTCCATATACTTTTCAACACCTGAGATGATCAGTCTTTTTCCTATTAGCCATTCTAGTAGGTATCTGATTTTCATTTTAATTTGCCTTTCTTTAATGATTCATAATATTGAACATCTTTTCATGGGCTTATTTTTATTTGTACATCTTCATCAATAAAATATCTGTTCAGATTTTGTATTGAGTTGCTTGTTTCCTTATAATTGAATTTTGAAACTTTTTTATAAACTTGAAATCAAGTTCTTTATCAGATATATGTTCTTTATCAAATATTTTCTCCAAGTTTGTGGTTTTCCTTATCTTTAAACAGTGTCTCAAAAAGAGAGGTTTTTAATTTTGATGACACCCAGGTTATCAAATGTTTGAAATAACTTAAATAATAACCCAAGTTATCAATGTTTGAAATAACTTAAATGTACTCAAAACCACAAAAGTTTTCTCCAGTGTTTTAATCTGAAAGTTATGATTTTAATTTATAAATTAAGGTATAAAATCAATTTTGAGTTAATTTTTGTGCATGGCTAAATGTATGAATTGAAACTTTTTTGTTTAGTTTTCTGATTGGTTAAAAAAATATATTCTTTTCCCACTGAATTGCCTTTGAACCTTTGTGGAAAAATAAGTTACACATATATGTGTGGACCTATTTCTGAATCTCCTTTTTTTTTTATAATTGAGACAGAGTCTTGCTCTGTCACCAGGCTGGAGTGCAGTGGCGAGATCTCGGCTCACTGCAACCTCCGCCTCCCAAGTTCAAACGGTTCTCCTGCCTCAGCCTCCTGAGTAGCTGGTATTACAGGCAGGCGCCACCACGCCCAGCTGATTTTGTTGTTGTTGTTGTTGTTGTTTAGTAGAGATGGGGTTTCACCATTTTGATCAGGATGGTCTCAATCTCCTGACCTCGAGATCTGCCTGCCTTGGCCGCCCAAAGTGTTGGGATTACAGGCGTGAGCCACCACGCCCGGTCCCTTTTATTCTATTATTCCATTTGTCTGTATTTAGATAAATATTACACTGTCTCAATTGCTGTAGCTTTATAATAAGGTTTGGAATCAGATAATGTAAATCCTCCAACTTTTTTATCTTTGAAAAAGTTGTTTTGGCTCTTCTACATAGGTCCTTTGTATTTCTATTTGAATTGTAGAATCAGCCTGTCCAATTATATTAAAACAAACAAACAAAAACGATATGTTTAATTGAAATTGCATTGAATCTACAGGTCATTTTGGGAAAAATTAGCATTTTAACAATATTCAGTTTTCAAATTATGAACACAGTGTATCTCTGCGTTTATTAGGATCTTTTAAAATTTCTCTCAGCAATATTTGGAAGTTTTCAGCATATAGATTTTGGATGTTATTTGTCAGATTTATCCCTTAGTATTTCATATTTTGGTGATATGGTTAAATTTTTACTTCAATTTTTAATTGTTCAGTGCCCGTATGTAGAAATACAATTAGTTTTTGTGTATTGATCTTGTACCCTGCAAGTTTACTAACTCACTCATTCTAATAGCTCATTTTAGTATATTTCATCGAATCCTCTACATAGACCATCATGTCACCTGGGACTAGACAGATTTACTTCTTTTTCAATCTGGATGCTTTTTTATTTTCTTGCCTAATTTCACTGGGGAGAATCTTTAGCAGTGTTAAAGAAAAGTGATGACCATTCTAAGTAACACCGAGGGTTAGTTCAGTGATCTCATCAACTTAGCTTCCACAAAGCCTCCTGGTTCCTGTTTTCTACGTATCTTTCGTCATCTCAGTAAGGCAAGTGAAAAACTTTGCTGAGAAAACACTGTCCCTGTCCTTCCCTCAAGGCAACGTCCAACTTAAACAAATTGGCCCATGCTTGATACACACTTGCCATTCATGTCCTCAAGCTTCCGAAGGCCTGTCAGCAAATGAATGAATGGAGGTCATGTTTATACTTACACTGTCAACAGTCAGCAATTGTTGGGACTGAATTATTCTCATGGCTAGTTATTAAATCATTAAGTCTTAAAAGTTTATTCATCCTAACAGTGCTCAGGACAATCTAGTTTTGTTTTTCTAAATGATGAATAAAATGTTTTCAAATTTGAGGGTCTGAATGAACCTAACAAATTATCACCCTTCTAAAAGGAACTTATAACAGAGCCATGATTTATAACTTTGAAGATGTCAAACTTCTTTGCTAACAATAAATACTTACTGACTTCACATTAGCTGCCATGTCCATCAACGAGGAAACAGAAAGGTGAAGTGAAACTCACTATATCTCACGGTAAGGGGTATATGAGCTAAATTGCTTTCAGCTGCAAGTTTCAGAAAACCCCACCTCTAATTACCTTAAATAATAAGGAAATGTACTATTTTTCATGAAAAGAAATACAGAATAATAACAGTGAGTACCATTATCCCACTCATTATGGAGCTTTTCTCAACTGGATCTCCAGAGAATTTAGCCCTAATGCCTTAAGGCATCTATTGCATGCAATTAATTAACTTCTATGCATCTGTAGTGGTAGTATTTACTATCACTCTTGAGAGAATTAAGAAAAGATTCACATCTTTGTTCTGTGATTCCAAAGCAGAACCTCAATTGAAGAAGGCTGAATAGTTTGGCTTTCTCCCCCTTTCGCCCTCAAAATGACTTCCTTTATGGTTATAAGACACGCCAGAGCATCCTGGCATCACATTCAAAAAAGACAGCTTTCAGGGATGAGGGAGGGAGGGGAGGAGGCCTTTTTCATTTAACTATTTATTAGAAGTGAGGGAACAAGAAGCCCCATCACACTTTCCCCTACAACTTATTATGTTGGCCCAATGAAAGAAGTAACTGCAGATGTGGTAGAAACAGCAAGAAAACTCACATTAGAAATGGAGCCTGAAGATGTGACTGAATTGCAAGAATCTCTTGATAAAACTTTAACAGATGGGGAGTAGCTTCTTATGGATGATCAGAGAAAGTGGTTTCTTGAGATGGAATCTACTCCTGGTGAAGATGCTGTGAACGTTGTTGAAATGACAACAAAGAATTAAGAACATTACAGAAACCTGCTAGATAAAGTAGTAGCAGAATGTGCGAGGAGTGACTTCTGTTTTGAAAAAAATTCTACTGTGGTTACAATGCTATCAGACAGCATCACATGCTGCAGAGAATTTTTTGTGAAAGGAAGAGTCAATCAATGTGGCAAACCTCAATCTATGGTACTATCACCTTACAAAATATATTTTTTAAATAGTAAGACTTCAGAGTCAAAATTACCCCTTGATCCATGAGTTGCAGAATGGACGTTGTGTTAGCAGGCATGAGAACAGCATTAGTCTCCTTGTGCATCTCCATCAGAGCTCTTGAGTAACCAGGTGTATTGTCAGTGAGCAGTGATATTTTGAAATAGTTTTTTTTTCTGAGTATTAATCTCAACAATGGGCTTAATGTATTCAGCAAATCATGCTGTAGACAGATGTGCTGTCATCCAGGCTTTGTTGTTCCATTTATAGAGCACAGGCAGAGTAGATTTAGCATAATTATTAAAGGCCCTAGAACTTTTGGAATAATAAATGAACATTGGCTTCAATTTAAAGTCACCAGCTACATTAGCTCCAAACAAGAGAATCAACCTATTCTTTGAAGCTTCTAAACCAAGCATTGACTTCTCCTCTCTAGCTGTGAAAATTCCAATATAAGGATGTTTCATCCACATTGAAAAATCTATTATTTAGCCACCTTCATCAATAATCTTAGCTAGATTTTCTGGATAACTTGCTATGGCCTCTATATCAGCATTTGTTGCTTCACCTTATACTTTATTTTGTGAGAATGGCTTCTTTCCTTAAACCTCATGAACCAACCTCTGCTGGCTTCCAAGTTTTCTTCTGCAGCTCCCTCACCTCTCTCAGTCTTCATGGAATTGAAGAGAGTTAGAACCTTGCTCTGGATTAGGCTTTGGGCTTTGGTTTAAAAGAATGTTGTGGCTGGTTTGATCTTCTATCTAGACCACTTAAACATTTTTTTTTTTTTTTACCATATTAGCAGTAAGGCTGTTTTGCTTTCTTATAGTCATTTGTTCACTGAAGTAGCACATTTAATTTCCTATGGGAACATTTCCTTTGAATTTACAATTTGGCTGTTTGTCATAAGAGGCCTAACATTTGAGCTATTTTGGCTTTTGATGTGCCTTCCTCACTAGGCTTATTTGTTTATAGTTTTTGATTTAAAGTGAGAGATGTGCAAGTCTTCCTTTCACTTGAACACTCAGAAGCCATTTTAAGATTACTGAATTGCTTAATTTCAATACGTTTGTGTTTCATGAAATAGGAAGGCCCACAGAGAGGGAAAGAGATGGGGGAACAGCCTGTTGATGGAGCACCCATAACATATACAACATTTATCAATTAAGTTTGCAGACTTATGTGAGCATAGATCATTTTTCCCCAAAACAATTATAACAGTAACATTGAACATCACTGATCACAGAGCACCATAACAGATATAGTAATAATGAAAAGCTTGAAATATTGTGAAAATTACCAAAATGTGGCACAGGACATGAAGTGAGAACATGCTGTTTGAAAAATGATGCAGACAGACTTGAGGCAGGGTTGCCACAAGCTTTCAATTAGTAAAAATGTAATTTCTGTAAAGTGGAACAAAGTGGAACACAGTAAAAGTAGGTATTGAAAGGTTTAAGCGTAACTTAAAAACATCCCAGAATCTATAACTTAAATACATCTAGAAAGGTTGTCAGTAGTGACTCAATCGAATATACTTTATGAAGCCATAGAAATGTATCACTAGTGATTCATATTTGCTCATTTTTACCCGGGTGCTTTATATTTGTTTTCTATATGTTTTCATCTCTTCACTTATTTATTTGACAATACCTCAATCAGAACTTAGGTACTAGACAACACTCTAGTTTAAGAACAAGGAGACTCATTGGTGGATATTACCCAGCTTAGAAGAATCCTTTGAATGTTTGAAGAAACAGACTCTGACTTGAGCAGACCCAGGGCAACTCAGAGACTCTTTTATTATCAGGGAAACACTGAATTGAGAAATTGCTACTACTGCTGCCACCTCCAGAAGTGGCAAAATGGATGACCTAAATTCTGTTAATTCTTAGGAAGGCAGCTACTCATCACTAGGACATCTGCTGATGCTGCTGCAGAAAACTGTCATTACCACCATTACCATCACCACCGTAATCATCACCATCGTAATCATCACCATCTTCATCATCATCCTTGCAGTTTGAATGCTTGGAAGTCCATAGATTTTACATGAGTAAATCTAAATGATCAAAGCTAAATGACATCTGAAAGCTTACCTGCCAAGGAATTTGTGAATGTCATTTTAGGTTTCAACCCTTACAGTAACAATAAGGCCAAGTAGAAGGAAGTTAGCTGTTGGTGTTGATTCCAATTAATCATCTTCCATGGTTTATAACACAAAGGAGGTTGTAGCAATTGGAGATGTCAGTAAATGAAAAAACAAAGCAATTATCCCAAATATGCCTCCAAAACAAATGAAGTATATTCATTTCCCATGTTTCTACATATTTTTAATAATGTTTTCTTTTAAAATATTTGATATTTTTAAGTAAAAATATTTCCCATAGTAAAATGTTATAAAATATAGCGATATATTATTTAAAGGTGATAGTCCACTAAAATCACATATCCCTAATAATCACAGATAAATTTTGGTGTTTTTTCAGATATTTCCAATGCAGACTATGGAGAGATAGAGAAGAGATAAGAAAGAGAAAGAGGTGAGTCGTGAGTGCAGTTGTAAAATATAAATACTTTTAAAAAGCAGAAAAGAAATCATACAGGCCAGGCGTTGTGGCTCACACCTGTAATCCCAGCACTTTGGGAGGCCAAGGCAGGTGGATCATCTGAGGTCAGGAGTTTGAGACCACCCTGGCCAACATGATGAAATCCCGTCTCTACTAAAAATACAAAAATTAGCTGGGCATGGTGGTGGGAGCCTGTAATCTCAGCTACTAGGGAAGGGGAGGCAGGGGAAGCGCTTGAACCCAGGAGGTGGAGGTTGCAGTGAGCCGAGATCATGCCGTGGCACTCTAACCTGGGTGACAAGAGTGAAAATCCGTCTCAAGAAAAAAAAAAGAAATAAAATTATACAAAATGTATTATTAGGAACCTTTTATTTCTAAATTAACAATACATTTTGGGCATTTTTTATGTGAGTATATGCGTAAGATCTACCTTATTTTCCTCATTTTTAATGGGACATAATAGTCTATTGCATGATGGTATCATAAAAGATTTATTTGTTATTATTAGACAATTGATTATTCCTCGTTTTATTAGTATGAAAATGTAAATAATTTACAATGAACATCATGTTGCATAGAATAAAAAATCATGGATATTTGTTTGGTTTATATCTCCAATTTCCACTCAAAAAGATAATGTGTATTATGTTCCTACTAGCAGTAAATAGAAGGGTATTTTCCTGATATCCTTATCAACATCAAATGTTGGCAAAATTGATTATCTTTGTCAGTCTCTATGTCAAACATGCTATTATTTCATTGTTACTTTAATTTATATCTATTTTACTAGTAAGGAGGTTGACTTTTTTCTATGTATCTATTGGTTGGTTGTATTTCTTACACAGTGCTTTCCTTTTTATATTCTTTGTCCATATTTTTCCTAGGTCAATTATTTGCCATTTGATTTTTAAGAGTTGTTTATATTTTGTATTTATCAGCTCAATGTTTGATCATCTATGATGCACGTATGTTTTTTTCTGTTTGCAACTTGCCTTTTCACTTCATTATGTTTCTAATGATTTAAGTTACCAATTTAATCAATTTTGCATTTTATGTCATGCTTAGAGTCATCTTCACCACTCTAAACTTTTATCCATGTATATTTTATAATACCTATTGTTTCATTTTATTTGATCCATTTGAATGTATTGTGATGTGAGGAATGAAGTGGGGGTTTCCTTTTTTTGTTCCCTAATTGGCTGCTAGTTTTCTCCATGTCATTTCTACTCTTTATCCTCCCCCAATAATTTGTTTATCATTTATAAAATGCTTTCTGGATTCTTGAGTCTTATTTGGACTTTCTTATCTTGCATTGTTTTGACTACCTTAATGTGTAGACATTAAGGCACAGTCTCATTCCTTTATTAGTCAACTTTATCTATTGTAAATTGAAGTGTGATCTACCCCTACATTTTTTTCTTTCTTTAATTCAATATCTCCTAATATATCCTATTCTAGAATCAGATTTAAAATAAGGTTATGTAGATTTATCTCCTTAAGACTAGTTTGAACGTTAACATTCTAGTTTAGTTTTTGTTTTTTTTTCTGTCAATACTTAGTGACATTTCTCTTAAGAATGTGAAATTTCTTGCTCTCTTTATATATAATATAATATATAAAATATATAAAATATATATTATATAAAATATATATAATATATAATGTATATATATTTTTTTCTTTTGAGATGAAGTCTTGCTCTGTCACCCAGGCTGGAGTGCAATGGAGCAATCTCGACTCACTGCAAGGTCCGCCTCCTGGGTTCAAGCGATTTTCCTGCCTCAGCCTCCTGAGTAGCTGGGATTAACGCCTGGTTAATTTTTGTATTTTTAATAAAGATGTGGTTTCACTATGTTGGTCAGGCTGGTCTCAAACTCCTGACCTCGTGATCTGCCCACCTGGGCCTCCCAAAGTGCTGGGATTACAGGCGTGAGACCCCGTGCCTGGCCAGTATATATCTTTTCATAATACTTGTCATCTTCCCTAGTACCCTTCCTGCATTATAGAAATAAATTACAGAGATATAGTGTGGGGTGATGAAAGAAATAGACCATGTTTGCTTTTCAGTTCTTAATTTTCTTGCCTTTATAGAAACATGGCAAGAGTAAAAATAACTAATAAACTAAAGATTTTTCTCTGTATCAAGAACATAATTTTTTAACTTTTTAAAATTTTCTTTTTCATTTATTTTTCTTTTTTTATTTTTGTTTTATTTTATTTTAAGTTCCAGGGAACATGTGCAGGATGTGCAGTTTTGTTACATAGGTAAACGTGTACCATGGTGGTTTGCTGAACCTATCAACCCATCACTGAGGTATTAAGCCCCACATGCATTAGCTATTTATCCCGATGCTCTCCCTCCCCCGACCCCATGACAGGACCCAGTGTGTGCTGTTCCTTTCCCTGTGCCCATGTGTTCTCACTAAAAACATAAAATTTTAATAGAATCTCTTTTCATTTAGAAGGTGACAATTCTATAGTTTCTTAATGATAAAAAATATTTTTAACTTCTAAAGCTAATTAAAATTGCTTATAATTTGATTATATATTATATACTATTTAAAAACATAGCACCTTATTTCATGGCTGAGGTTATCTCTAGAAATACAAATATCTTTTTGCCTGTCTTTTGAAAACACAGAATAATACAGTCATGTTTACAAATAATCTTTTTAGAGCGTGCAATAAAAGAGTTCTACCCTGGCTAAGAAGAAATTACTGACTGCTGACTGTGAGCAAATTTTGTTTTAGAGATGTCACTATTATTAAAGAATTAGGTTGGGCCAGGCGTGGTGGCTCACGCCTGTAATCCCAGCACTTTGGGAGGCCGAGGCGGGAGGATCATGAGGTCAGGAGATCGAGACCATCCTGGCTAACACGGTGAAACCTCGTCTCTACTAAAAATACAAAAAATTAGCCGGGCGTGGTGGTGGGCGCCTGTGGTCCCAGCTATTCGGGAGGCTGAGGCAGGAGAATGGGGTGAACCTGGGAGGCGGGGCTTGCAGTGAGCCGAGATCACGCCACTGCACTCCAGCCTGGGCGACAAAGCAAGACTCCGTCAAAAAAAAAAAAAAAAAAAAAAAAAAAAAGAATTAGGTTGAAAAGTTCTCAGAGACTTAAACAGTTTGGGTTTAGCTAACTCCAGAGAACTGGGGATTTAGGAGATATTCTAAGATTTAACGAGTACTACCACCGCCCTGACCTTTAAAATTGATGTACAGCAGAAGCCATGTAAGAAGTCTACTGGATTCATTTACTAGATAAAAAATAATTTGTCTTATCATTCCTGTGCAACTGAACACTTTTCTTATCCAACTAGCCTTGAAATTTTTATCCCAGCTTTCTGCTTCTATTGTATTGAATTTGTACTCCAACATGCACAGATAAGGAGTTATAAAAGGAAAGAGTTTGTTCATATCATAGATGACCACAAAGACAGTTCTTTCTCTTTATGATACGTTAGGGTTTAGAAAATATGCCTCTCACATATCCTTCTTTTAAAAATGACTGAACAATGATTACAATTTAATAATTCAAGATTGGAGTTAATATAGTATTAATGTAATGGTGTTCAGTGCTAGAAGCAGAAGGCATAGAGTATAGGCTAAATAGTAATTATAAATTTGGTAATAATACATAGAGCAAATACCAGAATTTGCTTTTGAGAGAATACACATACATATAAACACACATACACACACAGGTATTTACCAACAATAACTTGGGTTTCTAGATTAAAAACAGTATTAACAAAAATTCAGGAGATATTCAACTAAAATTTTGTAGAATTAATAATAGCTTACAGTTATTAGAATAATACAAAAAATCAAAATCAATAGTTTTCTCATATAAATGCATAAATTAGTTTGAAGACATTTGGAAAATAGTCTATTTGTACTAACAATAAAAACACCTACAAAATATTCAGCCGCCAAAAATGTGCAAAGAACACAATAAAACTTTAATAACAATTTTAAAATAATGAAAAAAAAAAACACCTGTCCCTGGATGAAAAGACTGAGTTTTATAGATATCCATTCTTCTTAATTTTTATTCACCAGGAATAATAAACAGGACAACTAGTTGGGGAGAATATATAGTTAAACTTCTAACTCATTTCATATGTCACTATTAATTTTAAATTAATATAAAATTAAATATAAAAAGAGAATCCTGTGAAGAAACTAGAAAAAAAATAAGTAACTAGGTACCCAATTTTGAAGTATGGAAGGCTTTTTACACACATACAGGCACACACACAAAGAAAATGACAACCAAATAAATAACAGCAAGATAAATAAATAAATAAATTATAATAAAATTGATACATCTTATCACACAAAAAAATTCCATCAACATATATTGTATACAAAAACTCCAAGGCAGAAACTTGGGAAAATATTTTTGTCAAAGATTAACCTTAACACATTAATATTCTAAGTATCTTTAGAAATAAATTTTTAAAGTTTCTTATATAAAATGGGCAAAACAATGAAACAGAAAATGAAGAGCGATGTTTAAAACACTCAAAATACATATGGAAACAAATTTAATTCCAGAAACATTTATAAAAAATTAGAGATAACCATTCTTTGCCTGTCATATTAGCAGACATTGACACCATCTGTTGAGGTGGATGTCTAGGCAAATGCAGGCTCCTGTAGGCCACCTAAGGAAATTTCAAACACCTTAATTGTGTCACAAATTGGTATTGTTCATATAAGGTCTTAATCCTGCTTAGATTCTCTGCCCTACTTATTTTACTGGAGAGAAAAATGGTTAGCACTCTAGACTCTGGCAAATAATTAGAAATATGTAGAAGTATTTCTTATGTACCTGTTTGGTCACTATGTGAAAATCCAGCAAAAATCCGAATGCTCAAGAAGAGAACAGTAGGTAAATAAATTATGTACTAGTCATAAAATGTGTATCAGCTGAATTTAAGAATCATATTTTCAAAAATATTAAAGATGTGACTAAGGAAAAAGACAGTGGTAAGAGTTATGAACCATGTCAGTACTGCACTCTATAATGAAGGACGTCTGCATTAAACTGAAACAATATATAGATAAAAAAAAACAAAAGTGGGGGCAACTTTTATTACTGGGTGGTGAGATTACCAGGGATTTTTATTTTCCATACTATTTATGTGTTCTCAAGTTTTTGTCTAGAACACTTTTTTAAAAGACTTGAAAACAGCAGCACTCAATGTAACAGTTATCTCTATATTCTAGAATTAGGTTAGATTTTTGTATCTCTACATAGGGAAAGTTTTATCAGTTACCATTTAATTTCCTACAGGACAATTACTTATCCTCATCAAGCTTTTGTTTTCTCATAAGTGAAATTGGGATAATACTTACTACATTGGATTATTTTTAGAATAAAATGAGATACAGGTAAAAAAAAACATTGTAACTGCTCGATAAATATTAATATTAACCATTGATACGGTTTGGCTCTGCATACCCACTGAAATCTCATGTAGAATTGCAATGCCCAATATTGGAGGCAGGGCCTGGTGGGAGGTGATTGGATCTTGGGAGCAGATTTCCCACTGGGTGCTGTTCTCGTAATAGTGAGTGAATTCTCCTGAGATCTGGTTGTTTAAAAGTGTGTAGCACCTCCTGCCACCTTCCTCCTGCTCCAGCCACCTTAGATGAGCCTGCTTTCCCTTCATTTTTTGCCACGTTTGTAAATTTCCTGAGACCTCCTCAGAATCCAAGCAGATGTCAGCATCGTGCTTCCCATACAGCCTGCAGAACTGTGAGACAATCAAATCTCTTTTTTATAAATTACCCAGTGTCAGATATTTCTTTATAACAGTGCAAGAATGGACCAATACAGCCATTATTTTCACTTTTAAAGGTACTATTAAACCTGAGCCTCTCAAAATTGTAGTATTCTGCTTCAGTTACAATTACTACATAGAAAAAATTCTGCGCATGAAGCCCTTGGCCACTCCCCGTGAGTCTCCCCAGGCTTTGTAGCTTATGGTGCCACCTCAATGGGAAACTTATTTTTTCCCCTGGAGAGTATCGGAAGTGAACCTAGCCTAAGCTGGTGGGAGTGAGGAATGGAAAATACTACCCTGGTAGACCATACGTTGGAACCTGAGGAACCTCATATTGCAGAGAGGGCACAGTTAAGTTGAGTCATGACTCAGGGGAAAAAATAATCACAGTGAGCAATATTGTGCAGAGATCAGGTGCTTTCTAAAAGTGAGCCTCCATTACTAAAGGTTTCATGATATCATTTGAGTATTGGTGTTCAGATGAGAAAGCTAAGAATGAGAAGCAGTAGCCAACAAATATTTCTTCCCTCCAATGAGGCATTGTGCTTGGGGAAACTGAAAACAGAAGAGAAGAGGGAAACGGGGAAAGAGTAGGTGCTGTCTTTCTTTAAGATGGAGTGTAACTGGAAACAGCCTCCAGCCAAGGTCAGGGTCAAGAGTAATAGAATCCTGGCAAGATGTGCTAGTTTATCTTCCCCCATGAACTCTTGCCAAACAATATACACAGTGTCGTGCAGCACCGGAGAGTGTCTGATGCATCTCCAGAGTATTTATGAGGACTTCTGTTTTGAAGATAGTTTCTTAGGTAACAGAGTGAAAACATGTATGGATGAGCTCTCATTTATCAGTGCCTTGGCTTCCTGTGAAATTTAAACAGCAAGAATCTTGATATTTTGTCCTGAGTAAAGCAAGTTCTTCAAAGGGATGTATGGGGTGGGGGTTCTTTGAAGATGGTGTATGTCCAGCAGACTTTGCAAAAGGCTCAGCATCTGTGTAAGTTACGCAGAGGTCCCGGCCCAGTGTGTCTTGTCCCAGCTCTCATAGAAAATAGCCAGCAGCTGCAGGCTTGGGTGAAGCTGTTCGTTGTGGGGCCTTGAGACCCTGGCTGGGGAGTGTGCACTGTTTTGCTTTGCTTATTGCAAGCACCTTTGGATGTCCCTGAGTTTTTCAAGCTTCATTCAGCTGCTCTGGTGGCCAGAAGCTGTGCAGTTAGATGAGAAATTATCTGCTTTTTAAAACAATCCTTTTAGTTCTGTAACTTGAGCTGGCCCCTTGTTTCCACAGAACACTTTTTGTCAGCAGGGGAAAACAAGGAAATTCCCTAGGAATGAAGGAGAAAGTTGAAAGGGAGCAACCCCAAACACCAGAGTCCCTAAGACACTAAGCCAGGATGTGCCAAGGGAAGTGATTTTGGGGAGGATTAAAATAATTATTTAATAAGATAAAATAAAACAGTTTCCGGCCAGGCACGGTGGCTCACTCCTGTAATCCCAGCACTTTGGGAGGCCAAGACGGGTGGATCACGAGGTCAGGAGATCGAGACCATCCTGGCTAACAGGGTGAAACCCCATCTCTACTAAAAAATACAAAAAATTAGCCGGGCGTGGTGGCGGGCGCCTGTAGTCCCAGCTACTCAGGAGGCTGAGGCAGGAGAATGGAGTCAACCAGGGAGGCAGAGCTTGCAGTGAGCCGAGATCGCGCCACTCCACTCCACCCTGGGCAACAGAGCAAGACTCCATCCCAAAAGAAAACCACTTTCCTATTCACTAAGATGCCAATAAAAATCCTCTAGTTTAGTTTTTTTAATTATAAAATAATACATCTTGGCCGGGCGCGGCGGCTCACGCCTGTAATCCCAGCACTTTGGGAGGCCGAGGCGGGCGGATCACGAGGTCAGGAGATCGAGACCATCCTGGCTAACACGGTGAAACCCCGTCTCTACTAAAAATACAAAAAAAAAAAAAAATTAGCCGGGCGTGGTATCGGGCGCCTGTAGTCCCAGCTACTCGGGAGGCTGAGGCAGGAGAATGGCGTGAACCCGGGAGGCGGAGCTCGCAGTGAGCCAAGACAGCGCCACTGCAGTCCAGCCTGGGCGAAAGAGCGAGACTCTGTCTCAAAAAAAAAATAAATAAATAAAAATAATAATAATAATAATACATCTTTAATTGATAACTTGTAACTACAGGGAGAGTAGAATGATCCCACTATAGAAAGATATAAAAATCTGATCTATTTCCAAAATGTAGAGATAATAGTTATATTTTGAAGTGTTACTTTTCAAGATTTAAAAATAAATAAATTTACGTTCTAGGCAAGAATATTGACAACACGTAAATATAGTCATGCATCTCTCAATGACGAGGATATGTTCTGAGGAATGCATTATTAGGTGGTTTCGTCATTCTGTGAACATTATAGAATGTAGTGGTACAAACCTAGATGGTATAGCCTACTACACACCTACCTATTTAGTATAGCCTATTGCTCCTAGGCTATAACCCTGGACAGTATGTTTCTGTATTGAATACCATAGGCCATTGTAACACAATGATAAGTATTTGCGTGTCTAAACATAGAAAAGGAGCAATAAAAATAGAGTATTGCAATCTTATGGAATCAGGGTGATACATGTGGCCTGTTGTTGACCAAAATGTCATCATCTGGTTCATGACTGTAACCTAAAAAATAAAAATCACTAATAATCCCACTATCCAGCAATAAAAGTTTCTATTGTGCTCCTCCTATATGGTTTCCATTTAATGCAGACATCCCCATTATAGAGTGCTTTAATAAAATGGTACATAATTTTTTATCACTGCCCTTTTCCTTAATTACATGCTCAAAATTTTTGAAAGCATTGTTTTTAAATCTAGTGGCATATATTGCATTTTATGAATATTACATAATATTGTGGGTTCCCATAAAACAAGTAAATAAATAGCTTTGGGGCTCTTGATTTAGTCATAGTGTTAATTTCCGGAGATTAAGTGGCCATTCTGAAAACACAGATACTAAGTCTTAGTAAAATTAAAATATTTTCTTCTAGATAGGAGACCCAAAGGTCAAGGGAGCTGAGTAGTTACTCACCTCCACCTAGCAATCCCCCTGCCAGTAGGCCAGGTTATATTTAGATACCTAGTGGCTTTGTAAATGGTTCCCAGGATAAACACAGTACACAAAACTCATAAAGGGCCAGTCTTATAGATCAAATCAACAGGCCAAGTAAACTCACCTTACAGTGGAAAGAGAGAAGAGATTGCAGATGGGATTGAGGTTACCCATCACAGATTTCAGCTGCTTGATCCTGTCATCAGACTTTGGGCTTGGTGCTTTTACCTGCTCTGGCTTTCTGAGTCAGGCTCACAAGGGACATGCTCACGGAGAAAGTGCACATTTGGAAGCCATTTGCTTTTACAAAATGTTTACTATTCCAGCCCCCGACAGTTATTGTTACTGGAGTCATTACTGATGGAGTTCAGAAAGAGAAGGGTTGCCTTTGGTTTCCCAGAGCCCGCATGTGGAAATGTGTGTGCACGAGGGGGCAGAGATAGAAAACAAATGCAAATCCACCACTAGCGTTGTTACACCTTTTCTGAAATATTGGATTTCTCATCACATCCCAGAATTTGAGAGTTTTAAAAAGGCAAAGCCATAGGCAGTATTCTCTTTCCCAATAAAGATAACAATTCATTAAAAAAAATGTTGTGGTTAATTCTCCAACTGTGATACATTTACAATTGCCAGAAATAATCCCAAGTTGATTATTGCTTTGCAGATTATTCCTGATGTGTGTATCTTGAAGAATTATCTGGTGGGAGGATAGGTGTGAGTAATAAGAATTAAATTTGTCTTCAGGGAGTTCCAAGTTCAATAAATCACCTCATCATATCATATCCATGGATAAGATTCTTTGCTTTTGCAAAATCAAGACAATCAGAACCCACTTGCCTAAACGTCTCTTTTTGTTCATTTTTTAAAAGTATTTATTCCAGAACAAAAAGAGTAGAAAAGGTTAATTGGTTCACATTTTATATGTACCCATGGTTCATTTTGAGTTAATTTTTGTATAAAAATTATGTTAAGGTATATATTTTGCATATGTATGTTAATTGTTCCAACACTATTTGTTGAAAAGACTACTCTTTCTTTATTAAATTGTGTCTTAAAACTTGGTCAAAAATTGATTGACCATATTGGAGCAGGTCTATTTCTGGAGGCTCTATTCTGTTTCATTTATTTATATGTCTATATTTTCACTAGGTTAGATATTGTAGCATTAGAGTAAATCTTGTAATTGGGTAGAATGACTACCCCAATTTTATTTTTCTTTTCCAAAATTGTTTTGGCTATTCTAATCCTTGTGCCTTTCCACATAAAATTTAGAATCAGCTTGTCTATATCTACAAAAAGACCTTCTGACACTTTGCTTGAAATAGTTTTAAAACAATTGACAAGTTTGAGAGGAATTGACATCTTCACTATACTGGGTCTTTCAATACATGAACGTATATGTCTTCTAATTATATGGGTCTTCTTTAATTTTTTCATCAGTATTTTGCATTTCTCAGCATGTAGATTTTATACATATTTTGTGAGATTTATAGCTAAGTTTTTGGGAGGAGCTATTGCAAATAGCATTGAATTTTTAATGTTGAATTCCAATTATTATTAATGCTAGTAGAAATATGATTGATGTTTATGGGTTTTCCTTGTACTCTATGATCCTATTTGACCACCATATTCATTCAAGGAACTGGATTTTTTCTTGTAGATATTTAAAGATTTTTCATGTAGATAATCATGCCTTCTGCAAATAGAGATACTTTTATTTCTTTATTTTCAATATGTGGGACTTTTTTGTTTTAATTCTGGCTTTGTTACACTGGCTAAGACTTCCATTCCTATTTTAAATAGTAGTGGTGGGAATATGCATCCTTGTCTTGCTTCCAGTTTTAGTGAGGAAAGCTTTTAGCCCTTCATTTTATGTGAGCTTTGTTGCTAGCACACTTTTCGCTGTTAGAAGCAAGAGTTGATGTAAGATTTTTAAGTAATAACCAGGATTTGTATTTCTTCCACAAGTTGTCTTTAAATGGTTTGTTGACTGAAACAATGAGAAATGGCATTGTCCAATCATTCCACCAAAAATAGCAACCAAGCTCAAACATGTGCCAGTAAAAACAACGATGCCACCACTGCTACCTGGCCTACAACAATTGTACACCATGGATTTCAAGATGCATTCAGATTCTAGAAATGTTAAGAGGTGAAAATGTGCATCTTGGAACTGATAGCATGTAATATGTTTCTTATAATAAGGTTTTAAAAAATAACTCCATTTCAAAGATCAGATGGTTGTAGATGTGTGGTGTTATTTCTGAGGCCCGTCTTCTCTTCCATTGGTCTATACATCTGTTTTGGTGCCAGTACCATGCTGTTTTGGTTACTGTAGCCTTGTAGTATAGTTTGAAGTCAGGTAGTGTGATGCCTCCAACTTTGTTCTTTTTGCTTAGGATTGTCTTGGCTATGTAGGCTCCTTTTTGGTTCCATATGAAATTTAATGTAGTTTTTTCTAATTCTGTGAAGAAAGTCAATGGTAGCTTGATGGAAATAGCATTAAATCTATAAATTACTTTGGGCAGCGTGGCCATTTTCATGATATTGATTCTTCCTATCCATGAGTATGGAATGTTTTCCCATTTGTTTGTGTCCTCTCTTATTTCCTTGAGCAATGGTTTCTAGTTTTTCTTGAAGAGGTCCTTTACATCCCTTCTAAGTTGTATTCCTAGGTATTTTATTCTCTTTGTAACAATTGTGAATGAGAATTTGCTCATGATTTGGCTCTCTGTTTGTCTATTATTGGTGTATAGGAATGCTTGTGATTTTTGCACATTGATTTTGTATCCTGAGACTTTGCTGAAGTTGCTTATCAGCTTAAGGAGATTTTGGGCTGAGACAATGGGGTTTTCTAAATATACAATCATGTCATCTGCAGACAGAGATAATTTGACTTACTCTCTTCCTATTTGAATAACACTTATTTCTTTCTCTTGCCTGATTGCCCTAGCCAGAACTTCCAATACTATGTTGAATAGGAGTGTTGAGAGAGGGCATTCTTGTCTTGTGCCGGTTTTCAAAGGGAATGCTTCCAGCTTTTGCCCATTTAGTACGATATTGGCTGAGGGTTTGTCATAAATAGCTCTTATTATTTTGAGTTATGTTTCATCAATCTGACCAAAAAAGCAATGGGGAAAGGATTCCCTATTTAATAAATGCTGTTGGGAAAACTGGCTATCCATATGCAGATAACTGAAACTGGACCCTTTCCTTACACCTTATACAAAAATTAACTTAAGATGAATTAAAGATGTAAACGTTAAGACCTAAGACCATAAAAACCCTAGAAGAAAACCTAGGCAGTACCATTCAGGACATAGGCATGGGCAAAGACTTCAGGAGGAAAACACCAAAAGCAATGGCAACAAAAGCCAAAATTGACAAATGGGATCTAATTAAGCTAAAGAGCTTCAGCACAACAAAAGAAACTACCATTAGAGTGAACGGGCAACCTACAGAATGTAAGAAAGCTTTTGCCATCTATCCATCTGACAAAGGGCTGATATTCAGAATCTACAAAAAACCTAAACAAATTTACAAGAAAAAAATAAACAACCCCATCAAAAAGTGGGCAAAGGATATGAACAGACTCTTCTTAGAAGAAGACATTTATGCAGCCAACAAACATATGAAAAAAAAGCTCATCATCACTGGTCATTAGAGAAATGCAAATCAAAACCACGATGAGATACCATCTCACAGCAATTAGAATGGCAATCATTAAAAAGTCAGGAAACAGCAGATGCTGGAGAGGATGTGGAGAAACAGGAATGCTTTTACACTGTTGGTAGGAGTATAAATTAGTTCAACCATTGTGGAAGACAGTGTGGTGATTCTTCAAGGATCTAGAACTAGAAATACCATTTGACCTAGCAATCCCATTACTGGATATATAACCAAAGGATGATAAATCATTCTGCTATAAAGACACATGCACACATATGTTTATTGCAGCACTATTCACAATAGCAAAGACTTGGAACCAACCCAAATATCCATCAATGATAGACTGGATAAAGAAAATGTGGCTTATATATACCAGGGAATACTATGCAGCCATAAAAAAAGGATGAGTTCATGTCCTTTGCAAGGACATGGATGAAACTGGAAACCATCATTCTCAGCAAACTAACACAGAAACAGAAAACCAAACACCACATGTTCTCACTCATAAGTGGGATTTGAACAGTGAGAACACATGGACACAGGGAGGGGAATATCACACACTGGGGCCTGTCAGGGGTGCCAGGGGAGGGACAGCATTAGGAGAAATGTAGATGACGGTTTGATGGGTGCAGCAAACCACCATGGCACAGGTGTACCTATGTAACAAACCTGCATGTTCTGCACATGTATCCCAGAAATGGAAGTATAATTTAAAAAAAAAAAAAAGAAAAAGAAAAGTAACTCCATTTCATGAGCAATGTCTCAGATCATAAAAAGATCTTTTATAGGTTTTTTTAAGTAGTGAATAATATTTCATTGTAAGGCTCTGTCATAATTTATTTAATCAGTCTTTTCTATTGAAATTTTATTTTGTTTTCAGATTTTGCTATTTTATATGATCCTCTAATAAGCATGTTTAGCATTAAAGTGTGTACTTACAACTATATGACTATGAGAACCAACTAGGAATAGATTTAGTCGAAAGGCAGTTTTTCTAATTTTTGAAAATTTTCCTTCCAAGGGTATAATTTTATGCCAGGAGAAAGTTAAATGACCCCTGAGAAAATGAGTAAGGGTGGAAAACATGTAAACTTGTATTTGAAGGAGAACTTTAGTTACCATATCATGAGATATTAAAAAAACTTTAGATGATTAGATTTTTTATTGTCTGTCTGTACAAGGGTAGAGTATATGTAGATTTTTCTTTATTTTACCATAAAATTTGATAATAGGATCTTTAAATATCAATTTTATAAAAATCTTCTTGTTAATATATTTCCACTGAGGGCTATTGCTACAAATTGTAAGCTAAAATGGAATGTTCACTGGATGAAACATAATGATTTTTTTTTATCGGAGGCAGAGCAAAGTAATTTAATAGGGAAAAAAGATTGTTGAGTTGTAAAAAAATTATAAGTTTTTTTCACTTCTACTCAAATTTGTAAGCCAATATAGTCCATGAACTTCATTCCTTCATTATATGGGTAACTATGGGAAAGTTTAACATGTCTTGGATAAGAATCTCAGTTATAGTTGGAATTAAAACAAATCGGTGTTGCAATACAATTTGCTCTGATGTTTAGCTTAGTTTAGAAACAGAAAATGTTAACACAGTAATTTCAAACTGTTGATATTGGTTTGTATTTTTGGGGCCAGCAATGAAATTGATATAAACAAAAAGTACTTACTTTGGATTTTTAATTCATTCTGTCTTGTGGCTCAAGCTGCTGGCTGGTTAAATGAGGAAGTAAGAGGGAAGAGATTAGGAGTAAGTGACAGCCACATTTATGCATTTCTTAGTAAGTGTAATTTTAAAGTTACATAAAAATTAAATACAGAAATATACATGTTTTTAGAAAGAAAAATATACACAATGCAATATTATACTGTAGAGAAAGCTTTAGACTGAGTTAGGATTTCTCCCACTTATCAGCTGTGTGACTTAGCACGTTTTCATCTATGAAGCAGGAATCTTTGAGTAACAAAGTTGTAAAATTCAATAGATGATTGATGGGGAGGTTTCTATTTTGAATTCTTTTATTACATTCTGCATAATTGAGGTATTATTAAAGAAGAACAAATATGATCATCTCTGCCTCTTTGATATGATCTTGAGGAAATAATTTAACCTTTATAAGCCTTGTTATTTTATCTTAAATATTAATACTTCATAAAGGCATTTTAAGAGTCAGATAAAATAATTCTGTGAAAGTGTCAAAGGTGCAGCATAAGAAAACAAGATTAGAACATGTTCAGGTGAATTTTCATAAGCAGCATCCCTCATTTGGTCAGTATAAGGTAATGATGTGCAAATATTGGCCAGACCACTCTCCAGAGCAATGCTGGAAGGCATTATTTTAGCTCAAGACTTTGAAGACCATTGAAGGATGATTTGAAGTGACCTAGAACCCTGTTGTGGCATATAATTCTAGAATCATAGACGCAACTTTATGTGGTAAAATGTATGCACGTACCACGCTTAGTGGCATTCAGGATCTCTAGGTCATGGAGGGATTAACAACAAATACCTCCTACCAGGCAGAGAAAAAGTTTGGAGAGAAAAGTTTCAGTTGTAGTTATGTCCTTATTCTCATGCAGGTCTTCATTTTCTATCAATGAGTACTTCTTGAATACCTACAAATATTCATAATTTCTCATGTTAGTCACTGAATTGTCATGACTATTTTTATCTTTGTGGATTATTTTATTTGAACTGATTGATTGGTTGCCAAGTTGTCCATAATTTTGTTTGTAATTTTCCTTCATCAATTCTTTAAAATATAACTTCATCACCTATACAGCCATGCAACACATAAGGACATACTAGTCAATGACAAACTGCATAGACAATGTCAATATCTTATTCCATAAGATAATGGAGCTGAAAATTTCCTATCACCTAATGACATCATAGCTGCCATACATCATAGCATGATGCATTACTCATGTGTTTGTGGTGATGCTGGTGTAGACAGATCTCCTGCACTACCGATTATATAAAGATATAGCACATACAATTATATACAGTACATAATACTTGATGATAGTGGTGATAAATGCCTATGTTACCTGCTTATGTATTTACTACACTATGTTTTTCATCATTATTTCAGAGTGTACTCCTACTTACAACAACAAAAAGTTAACTGTAAAAAAGCTGCAGGCAGGTCCTTCAGGAAGTGTTCTAGAAAAAGGCATTGTTGTCACAAGAGATGCTAGCACCATGTATGTAATTGCCTCTGAGACCTTCCAGTGGAATCAGATGTGGAGGTGAAAGACAATGATATTAATGATCCTGAACCTAGGTAGGCCTAAGCTACCATGTGTGTGTATCTTAGTTTTTAACAAATAAGCTTTAAAAAATAGAAAAAAAATTACACTTAGAAAAATACTTAAAAATAAGGACTTAAAGTAGGAAAATATTTTTGTACAACTGTACAATGTATTTGTGTTTTAAGCTAAGTGTTATTGCAAAAGTCAAAGAGTTAAAAAATTAAGAGGTATATGAATTTAAAAAGTTACAACAAACTAATGTTATTACTGAAGAAAGAATTTTTTCATAAATTTAATGTTGCCTACATGTACAGTGTTAATAAAGTCTACAGTAGTGTACATTAGTGTCCTATGTATTCACATTCACTCACCACCCACTCACTGACTTACTCAGAGCAACTTCCAGTCCTATAAACTTCATTCACAGTAAGTGCTCTATGCAAGCATACAGTTTTTTATCTTTTATACTGTATTTTTACTGTACCTTTTCTATATTTGATATGTTTAGATACACAAATGCTTACCATTGTGTTATAATTGCCTACAGTATTCAGTACAGTAACCTGCTGTCTAGGTTTGCAGCCTAGAAGCAATGAGCTTTTCCATATAGCCTAGGCATGTAGTGGGCTATGCCATCTGAATTTGTGTAAGTACACTCTGTAATGCTTGCATAAGGATGAAATTGCCTAACAATGCATTTCTCAGAATGTATCTCCATTGTTAAGCAATGCATGACTATATTCCTAAAGCTTTCTCTGTTCCCTTTCTGGTACAATACCTCTGTAGAATCTAAAAATGAAGGTGATGCAATGCCCTTCATTTGTGCCACAGTGTTGCAAGAGTATCTAAATGGGCTACATGGCTTAGGAGATAGGAATTTTCTTGGCCTTCATGCATTTTGGTTAGAAGAAAACAAGAGGTGTCAGAGCCCCAAGCACCCTCTCAACACAAAAGCTCCCTACTCTAGGTTACATCTGGTATCACTGAATCACTCTTTCAATTATGCCTTCTTGCTGCCTTATTTGACGTTTTCATCTTCACACATAGATGGCTTTCAAAGCACTTGTAAATTAAAAATTGGTAGGCAAGTATGAACTGGATTGTTATTATAGTATTAAAATGGGATCCTGTCTCTGTTTCATCCAAGACTTTCAGACAAAAGATCTTAAGAACAACATTCTAGAGAAAGTTGTGAAGCAACCCAAGCAAGACTATGTGTGAGCTACAGGAGAGCGTATTAACCTGGTATTGTCTTCAGTCCTGCCCAAGAGGCCACCTGGAGGGAAAGAAGGCTCTGAGGACAGAGGCTGGAGGTTTTCTTGCAGATGCCCTCAGGCTGAAATGTGAGGTTTTAAGGACCAGCCGGAAGAGAACTGCAAGGAGAGATCATTAGTGATGGGAGAAGACCCTCCAGAGATCCCACAGAAGCATCCAGAAGAGAGAATCCAGAGAGTATTGACAGCAAATCCAAGAATACCAGTCGAATAAGGCCTTTCCTGCCATTTACCTCACATCTCTTTCCTCTCTCCATTCCTGGGGAAAGAAATCCGTAGCCTTGGCTCTCAGCTAGAGGAAGAAGGGTACACACAGAAAGCAGGAAACTAGAGAAGACACCCACCACACTCCCTCTCCCACTGCAAGGCCTTGCCTGCAAAAGGCCCAAGCTGGGAAAGGATAACTATAACTTTAAGTGAAATTTGGAGTTTTGACTACTACAAAAGACTTAACATTTTACTTACGGAAACAATACTGTTTTGTGGCTAGAAGCAAATTAAGGAATTTTCATTAACGGCAAGTGCATAAGGAAAGTCATGAGCTGTGCCAGATTTCATGAAAGGAACAGGGAAGAATGAGTCCTGGGGAGGAGGTGTGTCTGGGCTGTGGTGGGTGGACTCTCGTGCCCCCTGGGTTAGAGCATTGTATAAGCACCAAGGGTTGTAAATAATGAGCAGAGCAAAGACACGGACTCAAATGCTCCCTGTCTTCTCTCTCTCCAATGGCACAGAACTCTTACTGCCCTCAGCACAATGATTAACAGCAAACCAAATTGGTTAGGAGATCTGTGATGACATCTGCTGATGGTCCTTCAAGCACATGAATGACAGGTAATAGAGCTATCTTGCTCACCTTCAGGAATGCCTCCTTTACACGGAGGCTCTCATTTGATATTTTAAAGATTGTCTGCCCCAGAGAAATAATTCAAACACTATCCATTGGCTTTAGAGAAATAATTCCTTTTGAAATGATTTCACAAATACCAAGGGCAAGACCTCATTTAGATGGAGTAAAAGCTTCCCAAACCCGAAGGGAACATTCCTCCCAGGGCTGTGATTTCTGCTGAAGAAAGGGAGGTGTCTGAGATAAGCAGCGCAGACTGTGCTGGAAGAAACAAACATGTTTGTTGTTCCCCTGGCGCATATATTTCCTAATATAGTCCTGGGCCTTGAGAACTCTGGCTGCCCCTGCGGCTACAGAGAAGCCCAGAGCTATGTCCTGAGGAACCCCGGGGCCTGTGCCCACTGAGAATCCCTGACCTGCCAGGAAGACCTCCTGAGAACAAAAGCGATGATCCAGAATGGGCCGGCGCAGGGGCAGCGCATCGCGGATTCTACGTGGGTGAGGACCACCGTGGCTCTCAGCACGGCTGAGGTTGAATTGATGGGATGACCATCTTGCTTTCTACGCCTTTCCTGGGGCCTTTAAAGAGGAAAAGTTTACTTCATTGAAATGCATTCCTTAAAAACTTCTGCACTTTTATCAACTTTCGGCAGTGGGATGTGTTCAACGCTCATGGAGCACCTGGGCACTAGATACAGCAAGAGAGGAAAAGGAGTGGGCATTGTCGGTAGATAATTTTAAGACAACATTTTTAAAGATAATGCTTTTTATTCTTGCCTTGTACCAGTAATTGTAAGCTACAATGGTGATAAAATACCCCTTCCTGAAGCAAAAATTCTCTGGGTCCAAATTCTAAATAATTGCTGTGATTACTGTTGGATTTTAATTATATATACATATATAATTATATGTAAATTACATATTGCATATATAAATATAAGTGTATGTTCATAATTATTTATAATTTGTATTTATTAAATATACAATACGTTATATAATGTTTAATACATATTAGTCATGTATGGTATACAGAATATATATTGTAAAAGTTTTTTAATTTTAAAAATATTTATAAAACAATTATTTAATATTTATTTACTTAAAATAAAATAAAATATTTAAAGCTATTTAAAAATAAATATATGACATATATAATTATATTATGAAGTCCATTTATATTTAAAAGCTTAAAAAGTGCATATTTATATTAATTATCCTCGAATAAACATTCCATTCCATGTACCTTAATTCAGAGAATACTCAGTTATAAGTTGGGTTGATACACATACATTCAGCTATATGTGTTTGTTTTGAAAATCTATGAATAGAAACTCAGAATTGTTGGAGTTCATTTTAGGTATAATTTGTATCCATCTCCTGTGGTACTAGCCATTCTTGCATTTAAATAGCTGATTTGAAATAAATAATGATAACCCATGATTTTTCTTACCTTTTTTGCTTCTTATTAATTGCCTTTTTTTATTGCACTTTAAGTTCTGGGATACATGTGCAGAACATGCAGGTTTCTTACGTAGGTATACACGTGTCATGCTGGTTTGCTGCACCCATCAACCCGTCATCTACATTAGGTATTTCTCCAAATGCTATCCTTCCCTTGGCCCTTTACCCCCTGACAGGCCCCAGTGTGTGATGTTCCCCTCACTGTGTCCATGTGTTCTCATTGTTGAACTGCCACTTATGAGTGAGAACATGCAGTGTTTGGTTTTCTGTCCCTGTGTTAGTTTGCTGAGAATGATGGTTTCCAGCTTCATCCATGTCCTTGCAAAGGACATGAACTCATCCTTTTTTATGGCTGCATAGTATCCCATGGTGTATATGTGCCACATTTTCTTAATCTAGTCTATCATTGATGGGCATTTGGATTGGTTCCAAGTCTTTGCTATTGTGAATAGTGCTGCAATAAATATAAGTGTGCATGTGTCTTTATAGTAGAATGATGTATCATCCTTTGGTTATATACCCAGTAATGGGATTGCTGGGTCAAATGGTATTTCTAGTTCTAAATCCTTGAGGAATCACCAGACTGTCTTCCACTATGGTTGAACTAATTGACACTCCCACCAACAGTGTAAAAGCATTCCTATTTCTCCACATCCTCTCCAGCATCTGTTGCTTCCTGACTTTTTAATGATCGCCATTCTAACTGGCGTGAGATGGTATCTCATTGTGGTTTTGATTTGCATTTCTCAAATGACTGGTGACGATGAGTTTCTTTTCATATGTTTGTTGGCTGCATGAATGTCTTCTTTTGAAAAGTGTCTGTTCATATCCTTTGCCCACTTTTTGATGGGGTTGTTTATTTTTTTCTTATACATTTGTTTAAGTTCCTTGTAGATTCTGAATATTAGCTCTTTGTCAGATGGATAGATGGCAAAAATTTTCTCCCATTCTGTAGGTTGCCTGTACACTCTGATGATGGGTTTTTTTTTCTTTAGTTTAATTAGGTCCTATTTGTCAATTTTAGCTTTTGCTGGAATTCCTTTTGGTGTTTTAGTCATGTATTCTTTGCCAATGCCTGTGTCCTGAACTATATTGCCTAGGTTTTCTTCTAGGAAATCCAGGAGTTGTTTTTTTGAAAAGATTAACAAAATAGATAGACTGCTAGCCAGACTAATAAAGAAGAAAAGAGAGAAGAATCAAATAGACACAATAAAAAATAATAAAGGGCATATTACCACTGATCCCACAGAAATACAAACTACCATCAGAGAATACTAAAAACACCTCTACACAAATAAACTTGAAAATCTAGAAGAAATGGATAAATTCCTGGACACATACACCCTCCCAAATCTAAACCAGGAAGAAGTCGAATCCCTGAATAGACCAATAACAAGTTCTGAAATTGAGGCAGTAATTAGTAGCCTACCAACCAAAAAAAGTCCAGGACTAGACGGATTCACAGCTGAATTCTACCAGAGGTACAAAGAGGAGCTGGTACCATTGCTTCTGAAACTATTCCAAACAAGAGAAAAAGATGGACTCCTCCCTAACTCATTTTATGAGGCCAGCATATCCTGATACCAAAACCTGGCAGAGACCCAATAAAAAAAGAAAATTTCAGGCCAATATCCCTCATGAACATCAATGCAAAAATCCTTAGTAAAATACTGGCAAACCAAATCCAGCAGCACATAAAAAGCTTATCCATCGTGATCAAGTCAGCTTCATCCCTGGGATGCAAGGCTGGTTCAACATATGCAAATCAATAAACATAATCCATCACATAAACAGAACCAATGACAAAAACCACGTGATTATCTCAACAGATGCAGAAAAGGCCTTCGATAAAATTCAACACCCCTTCATGCTAAAAACTCTCAATAAACTAGGCATTGATTAAACATATCTCAAAATAATAAGAACTATCTGGGACAAACTCACAGCCAATATCATACTGAATGGGCAAAAGCTGGAAGCATTCCCTTTGAAAACCGGCACAAGACAAGGATGCCCTCTCTCACCACTCCTATTCAACATAGTATTGGAAGTTCTGGCCATGGCAATAAGGCAAGAGAAAGAAATGAAGAGTATTCAAATGGGAAGAGAGGAAGTCAAATTGTCTCTGTTTGCAGATGACATGATTGTATATTTAAAAAACCCCATTGTCTCAGCCCAAAATCTCCTTAAGCTGATAGGCAACTTCAGCAAAGTCTCAGGATACAAAATCAATGTTCTTACATTTTTTTAACTTTTATTTTAAATTGAGTCAGTACACATGCAAATGTTTTATCTGGGTATATTACATGATGCTAAGGTTGCATTAATAATGATCTCATTGCCCAGGTAACTGAGCATAGTACCCAATCGATAGTTTTTCAACCCTTTTTCCCCTTCTTTCCTCCCCCCTTCAGTAGTCCCCAGTTTCTACTGTTGCCATCTTTATGTCCATGAGTACCCTATGTTTAACCCTCACTTATAAGTGAAAACATATGGCATTTGGTTGTCTTTTCCTGCATTAATTTACTTAAGATAATGACCTCCAGCTGCATCCATGTTGCTGCAAGAGACATGAATTCATTCTTTTTATGACTTTATAGTATTCCATGTTATATAGGTACCACATTTTCTTTATCAAATACAGGGCATCTAATTCCATGTCTTTGCTATTGTAAATAATGCTGTGATGAATTTGTGAGTGCATGTGTCTTTTTGGTAGAATGATATGTTTTCTTTTGAATATATACCCAGTAACGGGATGGCTGGGTTGAATGGTGGTTCTGTTTTCAGTTCTTTGAGAAAGTTCCAAACTACTTTCCACACTGGCTAAATTAATTTACAATCCCACCAGCAGTCCATTTTTTTTCCCACAGCTTTGCCAGCATCTGTTGTTTTTTGACATTATAATAATAGTCAGTCCTACTGGTATAAGATGATACCTCATTGTGGTTTTGATTCTCATTTCTCTGTTGATTAGTGATGTAGAACATCGTTTTTTCAAACATTTGTTGGCCAGATGTGTGTCTTCTTTTGAGGAGTGTCTGTTCATGTCCTTTTCCCATTTTTTAATGAGGTTGTTTTGTGCTTGTTGAGTTTATAAATTCCTTATTAGATTCTGGGTATTAGACCCTTGTTGGACTAAGATCTAGTTTGTGAATATTTTATCCCATTTTGTATGCTGTCTGTTTGCCTTGTTAATAATTTCTTTTGCTGTACAGAAGCTTAGTTTAATTAGGTCGCACTTGTCAATTTTTGTTTTTGTTGCAATTGCTTTTGAGGACTTAGTCATAAATTATTTCCCAAGGTTGATATGTCCAGAATGGTATTTGCTAGTTTTTTTCTAGGATTCTTGTAGTTTGAGGTCTTACATTTAAATCTTTAATCCATCTTGAGCTAATTTTTGTATATGGTGAAAGGTAGGAGTCCAGTTTCAGTATTCTGCATATGGTTAGCCAGTTATCCTAGCACCATTTATTGAATAGGAAGTCTTTTCCCCATTGCTAATTTGTGTCAACTGTGTCAAAGATCAGATAACTGTAGGTGTGCTGCTTTATTTCTGGGTTCTCTATTCTGTTCCATTGGTCTATGTGTCTGTTTTTATACCAGTATCATGCTGTTTTGGTTACTGCAGCCATGTAGGATAGTTGGAAGTAGGGTAATGTGATAACCCCAGTTTTCTTTTTTGTTTTTTACTTAGGGTTGCTTTGATTATTTGGGCTCTTTTTTCAATACCATATGAATTTTAGGATAGCTTTTTCTAGTTCTGTGAAAAATGACATTGGTAGTTTAATAGGAACAGCATTTTATCTGCAGATTGCTTTGGGCAGTCTGGCCATTTTAACAATATTGGTTCTTCCTATGCATGAGCATGGGATGTTTTTCCATTTGTTTGTGAATCTGTGATTTCTTTGAGCAGTGTTCTGTAGTTACCCTTGTAGAGATCTTTCACCTCCTTCATTAGATGTATTCCTAAGTTTGTATGTGTGTGTGTTTGTGGCTATTGTAAATGGGATCATGTTCTTGATTTGGCTCTCAGCTTGAATATTATTGGTATATAGAAATGCTACTGACTTTTGTATATGGGTTTTGTATCCTGAAACTTAATTAAGTCATTTATCAGTTCCAGAGCTTTTTGGCAGATTCTTTAGTGTTTTCTAGGTATAGAATCATATTATCCACAAAGACAGATAGTTTTATTTCTTTTCCTATTTGGATGCTTTTTATTTCTTTCTCTTGCCTGATCACTCTGGCTAGCAGTCCCTGTACTATGTTGAAGAGCTGTGGTGAGAGTGTTATCTTGTTCAGTTTTCCAGGAGAATGCTTCCACTTTTTCCATTCAGTATAATATTGGCTATGGGTTTATCATAGATAGCTTTTATTATTTTGAGGTCTCATTGACACCTAGTTTCTTGACAGTTATTATCATGAAGGAATTTTGGATTTTACTGAAAGCTTTTTCTATGTCTATTGGGATAATCATATGATTTTTGCTTTTAATTCTGTTTATGTGAAAATCATGACTTTTAAAGGAAAAGAGACAAAATCTGAGTCAGTCCTGTGACTGCTTGGAGTATTTATTTATTTATTCATTCATTTATTTATTTTAAAAATTTAAGTCCATGGTCAGAATACGAACTGTGAAGTGAGACATGATATTTCTGTTTGATAAGTACACATTAGTTCACATATGAATATATAAATGTTTTACTGAATTTAAATTGTATCTTCTAGCTAAACTTTATTCTTTAACATTGTTAATTGTTGCAAAACTAAAGAATATGTCCATAAAATCAAACATTAATCAATGGCATGACTTAATTGTACCTTTTAAGATATTTTGTTTTTCTTAAAATTCATTTATTGGTTGTTAGATAATTATTTACACAATATTTTTATATCAGGCTGCAACCAAAGAATCAAAGTTCAAACTCTTAGTTACATATAGTAACTGTTAAATAAATAGTTATGCAGAATTGGGTTTTTTGAACTGTAATATTTATATTTTTAATAATATGATTAAATATATGAATGAAATAAATTAGTCAGCATCTGCTGTTTTTGGCTCTTATTATCATTTGCCTTATTTCCTGACTATAAATTAAAATAATTTTGTCATACAGAGGAAATGGATCTAAAAAATGATCTTCTCTGTGTCTCAAATGCACTAGCTATGCGACTGACCACAATATTATCAACAATGACCAATATTTACTAAGCAGCTTCTGTTGGTTCTAGGGTTTATTCTGAGGTTTCTGATACAACAGTAAACATAACAGACAAAATTCTTGTCTTTGTTGAGTTCACATCCAAGTGAATGGGGGAAAATAAATAATAAATACAATAACAAGATACATCACATAATATGTTAAGAAGTGATACATGCTCTAGAAAAAAAGTAAGGCCGGGAAAGAGGATCAGCATGTGTTCTGGTGGGGCTATGATTTCAAAAAGGGCCAAAGTAGATCTCAATGAAAAGCTGACATTTGGCCAAAGAATGAAGGAACCGACAGAGTGAGACTCCACTGTCCTCCTCACAGACCTCGTAGTCAGTGTCCCATATGTCATCTCATTTACCAAGCTCATCCTGTTTGCTGTAATTGGTATCCATGGATAGGACTTAACTGAATAGCAAAGTATAGCTATATACTATACCAAAGCAACACAGTGCTGTAAAGAGCAGAAGGAAGACTAAGTTAAACCTGGCATCTAGACATAGGAGGAGGCTTTGTGAAGGCAACTGTGTTTTGGTCTTAACACATATCTAGGAAGTGTGTAAACAGAGATTATTCCCGTGTAGGGGCTATTTGTGCTAAAGCACAGAGGTAGGAACCTTGAATATTTAGGAAGTCAGAATAATGGTCTGTGGATCTTCAGCTGAGACAGAGACAGGCAAGCGATTAAGATTTGGGAGAAATCAAGGACTCTTGCTAGGTTGTTGGCATTAGGTCTGAAAAAGATAGATTAAATCAGAAGAGTGGGGTGTTCATTGTATGGTTTTTCACAAGTAGACATGTGTTTACTCACTGATGAAAGTCAAAGGGTGGCTGTGCTTGAAGTTGGCTGAAATACACTAGATTTAAGGAGGCTGAGGATAAATGGGTTGGGGGCAGGGGTGGTCATCAATATGGAGTTTAAGTTCAATGAAGAGGACACCAGAGGAAAGGCGGGAAGAGAAGACTGCAAATCTAGCACTGGTATAAGTGAGAAAAGTGGAAAAATATCCTAATCTTTTTATGAGTAGTGAGAGTGAGAAAAAGAGATAATTGTATTTCAGCTTTTAGTTGGTGGTTCCTTATAGGGTAAGACTAGTGACCAACCTCTTTTCTTTAGTTTGGTAATTCCACTGTGTTGATTTGAATTGGGAGGGAGAAGAAGGGGAGGGGGAGAAATCAGGAAACATATATTGTTCACAATATCAGATTCAGTAAATGTAAAACTCAGAGGTGAGATGATGCCTGCAGTTAAACACCAATTGACTGAAAAGCACAGAAACTATCAAGACGCTGTGTGTGTTCTCAGAGATCCCCCAATATGTACATATGATCCAAAGCCAAATGACAAAGGATGTGTTTCATAAACCAAAAATAGACATTCTCCACAAATACGACCCTCTAGGGAAACCCCAGGGGACCCTTGCACAGGGCAAGGTTTACGTAAGAGGCTGTAGAGTCTCTGCCCTCTCTCTTCTGGAAAGATGTGTAAGGAAGGATTGTCTCTGAACACTTGAGTACATTCCCTTGGCAGTACACACTACATGCTCTCCCCAAACATATTGTTCTTCTTCCAGGACAGTTTAAATATTGTAATTTTCTTATCCAGCTGAATAATATCATTTAGGAGGGCAGAGTAGGGGCTCTTGAACTGAGAACAGATGTATTAGGAGCCAAATTCTAGGCCAGTCCTCTGCAGATTGGTAGGGGAAGAACCATCTTATTTGCAGAGAGACCATTTATTTAGAAGTCCACCATTTGGTGAAGCATTCAACACACTCAATGTATAGATGTTTTATTAATATTTCCGGGCTCTATCAAAATAGCTCTTTCAAACCAACTCATGACCAGGTTAGAGGAAAGGTGTCATGAGAAAAAAAATAGAACCACATAACAATGACTTCAATGACTTTGAAAACTGAACTGTCACTTGGCATGAGCAGAGGCCTCAGAACATGTGGTTAAAGGAGAATGCTCTTCAAAGTACCAGCTCTCCCCACCCCAACACACACACACACATACACACACACACACACACACACACACACACACACACACTCGTCTCTTTTCTTCCTTTATTAAGGCATGTAATTTAAGTGTCCTTCACAGAAGCAGAAATGGCTTTTGGTAGGGTGTCTCAAAACCTTTTCAACATTTCTTCTCTTTGATGTCAGGATTACCACCTCAAATATTAGACGTGTAACATTTTCATTAAAACCAGGTTCAGAATTTAGAACAAACAAGAGCGAGTTCCCTAGGGAAGTCCTAGAGATCCATTTTTGGAAGAGAATGTCTGTGTTTATACTTCCAGTTTATAAAACATTTACCAATCACTTGGCCTCAGAACATGTTTACAGAGGGAAAAGCGCACCCACAAAACAAACAAACTGCTTCTTTCACAGTGTGGACCAATAGTCCTTGGCTCTTCCCTTTTGAGCATTATTTTTTCCTGCCTGATAGAGGGATTCACTCTCCCAGTCACGTGGTTTCTGCACAACATCCATTCTTACAGCCACAGTTAGGTTCTGATTCCCTCCTGTCTTATGTACTGACAACTGGTTAAAATTAGAAAGAAAGCTTCTTACTGATGAGTGTCCCTCACTAACTAGCAAATCTTGGATGTTTCACCCTGAGGTGGCATCCTGGGCAGTGTGGACAGTTCCCTGAGGCTGTTCTGCAGAAGAACGTGGAAGCCCTATTATCATGGTTCCAGCTCTCGGTCTGGTCCTCTGTTCGGATTAGCAGATAATTGAATTAGTAGTGCCCACTTTGATGCAGTCCCTCAATAGGAGCATGGAATCCAATTTACCAGTAATTTCAACAATAAACTTAAGTCCTACTTTGTGGGTCCTAGCGAACAGATTGTTGGGGGATGCATTAAGCTGGTCTCATCCAATAGTTAGTTTATAAAAACAAACAAAGAAATAGAAGAAGTTAACCTGTTTCTTTTCTGTGAGCAGAAAGTAAAGTCAAATCAAGATGAAAACTTGTGAGAAAGATATCAGGAATTAGTGACAATGAAGTTATGTAGGTAAGAGAGTAAGGTTCAAAGGGAAAGTTGTGAGGACTAACTACAGAGTAATCAGAGTTGTGCACAGGAAAAAGTGAGGATGCCCCTAGCCTGGGTAGTTCACAGGTCTTTCATGTCAGACTCAGCAGCTCTAACCTTTTCATTAACCAGAGTTAGAATTTTGAGCTTTTAGCATGCAGCAATCAGCAACTCTCCCAAATAAATTGCAAGGAGTCATGCTTTATGCAAACCTGTCACCTTCATGAGTCATTAGGAAAATATCTTGTGTCAACCTTGCCAGCTGTATAGCTTCATATGAACTCACAAATCTGTACTATTTGAGACCAAATCTCTTCTGTAGTCATTGCTGCTGGGGCATATTGTTAAAGTTTGAGTAACAACTGTTTAAGACCATTCAAATTCAAGCACAGGGACTTATGTATAGTTGGGATTCAGTCTGTGTTTATTAATAAATTCATCAATTAAAATAATCAATTTCATGGTGCTGGAAGAGGAGCCATGTGTAAGTGGTGTGAAGTAGTTACCAATGTCTTTATATTTTCTATAAATATATCTTCTGAGCGTTGGTTTGGTATGCTATGCTCAGGTATCTATGAATTTGTTATTTATTATCAACTTGGATTTGTTTTACAGAAGTCCTGCTGAACTTACAATTACACACAGGAAGAAATTTAGGAAGACTCTTTCTTTCCATTTCCAAAGATGAATGTTATTGTCCTCATTAAGATAGAAACACTTTTTGAATCCTAGTCTTCTCCGGACCTTTCTCCCATTGTAATACAGCCTTTTGAAGGTTAAAAGTCATGTTTGTCTGTTCCATTACTACCCTTATACTTATCCCAGTGCTTTACACCTAATCGGTGCTTAATACTTTTTATCATTTAACAGCATTTAATATATAAATATTTAATACTATTTGTTGACTGAATAAAGGAATAAATGAACTGCCACCCTTGTGAAACACAGCTCAATTGGATCTTGAAATTGCTTTCCTACATACTAAGAAATTAGCTTTCTAAATCCTGTGTTCATCATTTTCTTGCTATATTTTTATTACATCTCTATATATTCTTTAAAATTCTATATATTTTTACTGCATCTCTATATGTTCTTTATTTAGTTCAATAGCTTTTAACTTCACAGAAATGTATCATGCCATGCTACAAGAAAAAATTAGTGACTTATTTAGCTTCTGCTTAATATCTTAATATTATATTACTAAGGTGAATCCATATTGTCAATTGCTATCCTTCATTTGTTTGGATTGTTGTGTGAAAGTCCTTTGCTGAGACCTTGTGAATTCTTCTGTTGATGAGTACCTAGGCTTTAACTGTTAAAAATAAGGCTGTCATGAACATTCACGCACATATTCCCTCTCGTGTATGTGCAAGTGTTGTTGGGTTCATATCTAAGAGTGTATTTGTTGTGCCATAAGATATATAAATGTTCAAATTTAAAAGGTCACGTAAAGCTGTTTTCCAAAGTAGTTGCACCAGTTTTACAATCCCATTAGCAAAGTTTAAAATCTTCCTCCAATTTATCCTTTCAAACACTTGGCAATATCAGACTTTTAAAACACGTGCCAATTGCAAAATGTATCTGTTTGTTAAATAATACCTCAGTGTGGTCTTGATTAGTATTCCCCTAATCACTAATGACATTCATCAGCTCTTTATGTGTTTGTTAGTCAGGAGATTGATTTCAGTGTCAGTGCTTCCTTTCTGGATTCCCACGATTTGCGAGGTTTTGGTTGTTTTTGGTCATTCTTTCTCCCAGGTCGTCCTAGCCCAGTTGATGATTGTTTGCCTGGGACAGGGAACAGACTTGTTTCGGTTTCTTTCTCATGTGGACAGTCCTTTCAAGTTCTGATTTCTAGTGTCAGCTCCATGACTTCTAGCTTGAGCATCTGTGACAAATGGACGAGGATTTGGTGTCTTAGGTTTCTCATCTGTAAAATGGGGGTAATAATAAAACCATCAGGGTATATGATGGTCATATACTTATATCAAATGACATTTCTATCGACACTAGGTCTGTTTTGTACTTTGCTTCTCCCTCATTGCCAAGCTCTTAGATTTGACTTCTTCCATCCCTGCTTCTAGAATGGCCTGTATCAAGTTTCTACTGGCCTGCTCTACCCTATGTTTGTAACTGTTAGAAAATAATTAAGATACTATAATGATGATGATACCTAACAGTTTGGCAATTAATATGTGCCAAAGATGGTACTAAGCATTTTATAGATGTTACTTAATTTAATGCTTATAACCACTATATAAAGTAAATACAATTAGTATACTTATTTGTGTATACAGTTGTCAGCAAACTTCATGTATAAAGGACCAAATAGTAAATATTTGGGGCCTTCAAAGTCCTTGGTCTCTGCCATTATTCAAACCTGCTATTGTAGTATGAAAGCAGACATTGACAATATAAAAAATGAATATTCCAATAAAATTATTTACAAAAAGAGATGGTGGCAGACAGACTTGGCCTATGACCTATAACTTGCCTGCCCTAGAATGTTGCCTTTGATGCAGGAGTGAGAGCTACATCTCAAAATTGTCGTCATGCCTGTAGGCTTACCTAAGGAATGGGATGATTTTTTAGAACGTGCAGCAAATGTTCTTGTTTAACTTTGTCAAATATGTATTGAGTATTCAGGGTGTGCTAAGCACTACCCCAGGTGCTAAGGATACAGAAATAAATTAAGGCACAGTCTCTGTCCTCTAGGCTCAAAGAATCGTGGTAGGAAATTCAGGTAGACAAACATGGAATTCATAAGTACTAAAATATAAATACACAGTCAGTGCCACAAGAAAACAGACAAGTGGCTCCATGAGTTCACAGACATCACAGGGCACCTACTGTGTTCCAGTCACTAAGATGGAACCTGGGGATACAGAATACATGAGGCAGACACAACCCTCACCCTCACTTAACTGGGAGTTTAGTGGGGAAACTCTGTTTAAACAAATAATTTAGCAAATATTTACAAGTGTGCAAAATGCTGAGAAGAAGTGGTAAATACTATGAGAGCATATTGAACATGTGGAATCTGGGAATAGAGAATTTGTCTGGTATGACCGGATTATGAGGTGGTGGAACATGAACTGAAATGTGAATTAGGGCCAGACCAGAGGGTTTTGAACACCAAGTTAAAGAACTTGGGCTTTATTCTGGAGGCACCTGGTAGGCATCAAAGATTATTGAACAGGTGAATGACAAGACTAGTCCTTTTGAAAGAAAACTCTGGCAACCATATGTAGAGTAATTTGAAAGTAGAGAGAAATGAAGTCAACAGACTCAGTCTCACCACAGCCTTAATGGAAAACCATTTAATGAATGCATGAAGATAGCAGAAGAGAAGATGCTGACGGTTGTTTGGCTGTTCAATAATTCCAAAAAGAGAAGTGGGTGCTCCCTATAAAGGCTTTAGTAAACATTTTAATGAGTAGCATATTAATTGTCTGTATTATTTTTGGTATGGTAGTGGGTCATTACTTATCTATAAATAATATTATTTGCCAAAATACACTGAGCTAAACTTTTAATCTTTTAAATATTTCAACATAATACTTGCCGAGTATTGGCCTGTTAATTTTCTTCAAATCTACTTTCTGCAAGTACCATTCAAAACCAAAATGATCGTAAGTCAGTGTAGTTACAGACTACAAGGTAATGGCATCCAAATCATATGAGATTTGCCCTGTGACATGACTATTTGTTATTCTGGGTCAAATACTTTATAAAAAGGATACAAATGGTGTGCTTTCCTGCTCTATCAGACTTAATAATGGAAAAGATTTCTAAAGGTGCTTCTCTAATTCAGTGGCTTCACCATTGATACGATCACTAAAACTCAACCCTTAGAGTAACGTTTGATTCTTTTCTACATTTATTAATAGTTACCAAGTGTAGTTGGTGGCCCATTTAAAATGTTTCTCCCCTTAATCTTTTCTGTTCCGTCGTTACTTCCACCATCTCAAAGGATTCATAAATTTTGTTTCGGGAGCATGTCAGAAAAAAGAGATAGTGAGAGATAATAAGAGTCTTGACGAGGACAGTGGCTTCTGGATAAAAGGCCTTGGCCCAAGCAACGCCAAGGCTGTCATCTGCCTGGTGACACCAAAGTTTCATTGTAAATATATAGCAAAGCAGGAATCCTCTTTGGAAGCCAAAATATCTCACAGGCAGCAAAACAGATGGAAGAGCTGTGAATAATAAAAGGTCTTACAGGACTGAATCCAGGAAAGGGAGGATGCCTGTAGGTGAGGAAAGGGTTACAGGTCCCCCACGGCTCTGTTCAGCCACACATACACGAACAGGGTATACACAAAAACGCCATCCTAACTGACAGGCAGCTGATCATTTCTGCAGCAGACATTGGTCTTAATATCTGCATCCTAATTTATTTGACATCTGCAGAACATCCAAAGACAATATTCAAGTATGGGATGGGCAATCCGGCTGCTTTCTGAGTTCATCAAATATCTCACACTCCTTTTTCAAATGTTTTCAGTTTTGCAAAACTCAAAATGCATTTTGCCAAACATGTTCTCTGTTAATGTTTATTTAGAAGGGAATTTAATCCGTATGCTGCTGGTACATTTACACTTAACTCATCGAAATGTTTTACTAGAGTCATTTGATGTCCAAGAAACCTTTTGAGTCTTTTTTATAAGCCTCTTCAAGCCCATTTTGCTTCGAAACAGGAAGTCGCCTGTTACTAACCATAAATGAATGCACTCCCCAGAGGATTTGGTTTCATTTAAGACACTGAGAGACCACAAGGTCTCAGCCTACCCTGAACTCCACAGAAAAGATTTTTTCCTGAACCTACCGAGAATGAGCCATGCACAGATGAGGTGCTGTTATTATTTTCCAAAACGAAATCCTTTATGAAGAGGCATCTTTCATACAACTCCTGGGAAAGACGGTTACCGAAACAGAGCGCTAAATCATTGGCTTTGCGAGCTGCACCTGGTCAATGTCACTGTCTCCTATGAATCCACTTACCATTCAGAGCTCGTTTGCCAGTATTAATAGAACAAATAAAATGGAATGGGAGATAAAGATACCGACATAGTGATTTCTTGCTTCAGGAAAACCTTCCTGAGTTACAGACCAATACAATGTTCCCAACCACAAGCCAGGGAGCCAAAGCTGATATAAACACAGCATCCAAGCCACAGAACATGACTTGTTTAAGGCTTAATTCTGTGAAGTAAGGCAGGAAACAAGATTTATCCTTCTGGGAAACTTTTGGCATTTGCCTCGGGCTGGGCCTGATTACTCTCTGCCGTCCTCACCATCCATTACAGCTATCTGAAGGACATCAATTTTTTGCCCAAACTAAGGCAAGAGAGAAATGTCTCCATCTGAGTCCTGTAGAAATCTTTGTGTTTGACGTGGCATTAAACAACCAAGAGCGAACTGCCCTGTTGTGTGTTGCTGCGAGGATCATCGTTGCTATCTTAGGCCTTTTGGCTGTGAAGGGGAGTGAAATTAGTTGGGCTAAAGCCATTTTACAAACATAGTAAAAATAAATTACTACACTTATTAATTGAATCTTAAACTTGTCATTATGGCAAACTCTAAATTATTCCAAGAGCCTTCACTGAGACTTGGCAAAAATATTGGGTGCTGGAGGTCAGTTTTCATGTATGAAATCCAGCTTAGGTTATAACTGCACAGGCTACAGAGTAAACGTTCAAAGGATGAATGGGCCATTGAGAAGTAAATCAGACTCCCTGAGACTCTTAAATGAGTGCTGGAAGATTTCAAGCCATCAGTGTGGTGGGCTACCAATAGAATTGAGCTGTTAATAGAAGATAATTTGGGGCTGTTTAATATCAAGTATTTTTCTTTGTCATGTGTGTGTAAGAGTTTGTTTTTCAACGTGTCTTGTGTCTTTATGTCATGTTATTTTAGTTGTTTTAACTGCATGCTGATTGGGCACCGAAAGCTGTGAGTTAGTCCTTGGCCCACATTGTAATTCCTGGGCACAAGGCTGGAGTGTTTACACTGCAGGGGGATGTTCAGACTCTGACCCAACTGGGAGACATTTCGGTTAACATTTGGCTTTACTTACTTGTCCTAAATACTACATTATTAATGGGGTATTAATATTAGATCATTTCATTGGTTCCTTTCTTTTCTCTTTCAAATCATATTTTAAAGGCCACTGTCCTTAGAATAAGGTTTAAACCTCTCTTTAATGTCACTGCCTCAGAATTTGGCATACATAAAACTTCTCAGGACACTCAAGTAAAAGAATTAAAACAACTCAAGCAAAAAAATAAGAAATAAAAGACGAGCAAATATATATCTTTTCAGTGACATTGGAAAAACGAATGAATTCATTCTTCAAATTGCTTATGTAAAAACTTTTATATCCAAATTCTGGTGTCACTGCTAATAGTTCATTAGGCCCCGGGAAGTGACCTGATTACATATAACCCTAATGTAGTGGCCAGAAGTAAATATTTTACAATTATTTTCCATTTTGGTCTTATGAATTATTTTTCAAAACAGGTCTACACAGTCTCAATTGCCTTATTAATTTACGTAAGATCATTTGTGGTTCAAAGCTACCTATATACATATTTATTGATTCAATGCCAGTCTACTCTTGCCAGAATAAGTCATGGAAACATCATGCCTAATGGTAGAAATGGTCTCAACTGGAAGACTATTTTATGAATTTACCAAGTTCATCACAACACACATAACCATGATATCTAAATGGAACAGCTTCAGAAAGCACGTGAGTGTTTTACATCATGGCATAGATGGTATATATTTTACTGCCTGGGTATGAATGGTAAGAAAATGACCCACTTCATTTTAGTGCCATTTTGTTCCCAGAGAAATCATTGTTTGCTTTGGGTGCTACTAGCAATTCAAGCTTGAATGTGTCATTTTGTCCCCATATCTTCTGCTCCTATTGTGTCTTCAGTTTTTGTTAATGGTATCAATGCTGCCATTAACTTTGATGTCTCCCAATTTGAAGGTCAATAAAAGAAATGGTTCCTGTTGCATAGAACATAGAATCCAAAGACACTTTCTAAGTGGCCCCATTCAACATTTGATTTTCTTTAGTGACTAGAATTTCTATTTTATCTCTCACTAGCATTATTAGGTAAGCAATTTATGTATGGGTACATTAATATATATTATGATTTTTATGTGCATTTAGAGATACATGTGCATAGAATGCTATACATGAGCAACTGTTTTTATGAGTGCACTCAAAACAGCAAACCAGAATTATCAACAACAAAAATAATAACGAAGTGCTATTTAGTGCTGTTTTCTTATATGTAATTCTAATCAATCCTCATTTTAAAAATCTATGATTATTTTCTGCTTTTCTTTCCCCCCTCCTCCTTTTATTTATTTATTTTGTGTGTGTGTCTTCTCATTATTATTCTACAGCTTTGCCAAATAATATGTAGAGGTTCAGTTAAGATTAGGTAGCGAAGAGTGAAGTTAGGCTTTGATGCCAGTTAGATCTGACTCAGAGCCAAGTTCTTTTCACCAAAGCCACACCTTCTTTGAGGTTGAGGGAGGAGGTGGCATCTTAACTCTACTATTTTTATGTTTTTGTCACCATTGTAGAGGGCCATTGTGGATGAATTAGCTTCTTGGTATGCATACACACATGTGGATCTTGTTTATGAATAGCTATGGGAGAAACAAAGTCAATGTTTATTTCTATGGTGGAAATATAGATTTTGCAAACATGCTTCATAATACCATCCAATTATGGCAGCTTCTGGGATAAGAGGAGCAAAGCATCTGGGACACAGTTTAAGGTGGCACTCACTCTCAGGGTCCTACAAGTGCAGGGTCCACAGCTGAGAGTGAGTGCTACCTTAAATTTTATAGGCTAAGCACCTCACTTGCCCACCCCTAGTCCTGGGCCTGCATTCACAATTACCATACGCTCTAGTTCCACTGAAGTTAACGCTAACAATTTGGAGATGTATTAAACACCTACCATGTGCCCTCTCTTGTAGGGAAAGTAAAAATAGTTCCAATCACATTGCATAGGACTGTATTGGAGAAAAATGTCATCCAACTGGACAAAACAAGGCCTGCATTTAGGAAACAATCAAATCAGGTACATCGTCAACTCCATAAACTAGCATGACCGCGTGAGATCACAGAATGAGGGAGTCAGTATGGTGGGTTGTGGAGGACATTCTTGAAGAGGTCCTGAAGGAAAAGCCATTGTGCTGCAAATCGGGGTGAGGCAGGGCCCTGCTGGAGAGACTATGGATCTCCAAGCAGAGGCTGATTGATGTTGGCTGTAGGAAGCCATTTATGTGTTTGAACAGGGGAACAATGTGCAGAAAGCTCTGAGATGGATTATGCATCATTTTGCTGGAGTGGGTCAGGGTGATGGATGGATGGTGGATCCATCCAAAATAAGAACACTGTTTTAGAGTGGGAGCCTATTAGTTTAAAATTCATTTTAAAGTGATTACTGCTACAAAGTGGTTTTGATCTGTTACAGGGAAATTGAAGTTGGAAGAAAGGAAACAGTGGAGGTTGAAATATCCAAATCAGGCATCTTATTTATACCATTTTGTCATATTCCCATTTCTCTTGAAGTTGGCTCTACGATGCACTTAGCAGTTGTTGTTGGCTCTGAACTCTATTGTCTGAACCACATGGCTGGCCACTCTGTCATACGCTGCCTGTTCACTGAGCAGTTTGTGTGGGTGACTCTCGTCTCCCAGACTAGCTCACAACCCTGTAAAAGCTCATTCGGGATGGTCTGTATCTGTAAACTCTGGCAGCAACTGGGTACACAGAAGGCAATTAATACAGGTTTCACAGTTGTCTGCTTTAGAGGAATAATGTGGAGAGAAATTGAACTTGATTACCAAATGTGGAAAGGTCTGCATTTGTTGTACTTTGTAGTGTTTGGACTGACCTGAATGAAATTTCCAATGGCTAATTTCATTTCTAAGCCATACATGAGCCAGAAAACTCCACCTGCAGGGGAATAGTTTTTCATTGCCTTTCTTTTGAAAAGGGTCAGCACCCCATTTCCTGTCAACACGAGTTGCAGTAATAAGCAGGGATTGGCTACTTCTATGACAGTGGTGGTTGCTCAGGAAGAAGCCCCAGGACTCAGGCTTCTGTAAAAGGTTTTGGCTTAAGGTCAAATCAGAATGAACAATGCGAGATCCACATGCCTCTTGATATACAGATATCTGAGCTGGGGACACCGAGGCCCAAAACAGTTTACCAAAAAGGTAGAATTATGTAATCCTGTCCCTCAACAGGGCTTCTTTCCAGTTCAAGGTATCCTGGGACTAAACAGTACACATAGCAACAAAACAAACTTAACATGGACACTCTTTGCATTGTTAAATAAAATACACTCCCCGTAGTAGTGTGCAAATCAACAAAAGTATAACGGAGTGATGTGTCACTTATTTACCATCACGAAGAAGTGGACTATTTATTACAGATCAATATTACAAATAACTAAAGCCTGTGAATTTAAGAGCCAAAACTTCCAAAAACGTTAACCACATATGATGAAAATCATTCTAAACATTCCCTAGTGTCTTAAACATAGTCCTCAAAATATAGTTTGGCCTTCAATATGTTTAGAGGAGAAAAAAATGGAAAAAGGAATGGCCAGGCACATGGCCAGATGTTTTAATCCTGAGAACTAACTAGGAGAAACAAACTTCTTCTAGTCTGATTCCATTTCTTATTTTCTATGTCAAGAGGAAGGTATCCTTCTGTTTTTATATTTATTTTTATATTTATTCTTTATTTCCTTCTGCTCTTAGCTCTTCAGTTATTCTCTTTCTCATTGGTGGTTTTCCTTATACATTAGATGATTCCTGACTGTCACTTCCTTCTTCTCCCTTTTCATAGTTGAGATTCCCTGCTTGTCTGATTACATATACTGTTTCTATATGGTGCAACTAGTTCTGATATTTTGCAAAAGAGGCAGAGCATTCTAAAGAGAGGGCAAATCAGTAGGGCCACCAGTATAAAGCTCCTGCTTGTAATAAATCTCTTGAATAATATCTCATGGAATGTGTTTCTCTGGTCTCTGAGCTGGCACCTGAATGCTCATATCCATGAGCCCAATTTCTTGCTTAGACACTCCTTGCCTGCAACCTTCCTCCTCTCTGATTCCTCATGGTCACTCAGAGTTCCTGATTTCAAAATATCAGAGGACAGTTCTGAAGTTCTGATCAGCAGGCGAAACAATTGATCTTTTCCTTTATATGTCTCACTTACTGCCCATTATGAAGAGATAGAAAAGGGGATGGGTATACAAGAAACTTACCCTTGACATATAAAAGTGTACCCTGAGACAATTTCCAAAAAGTGAGCACTCTTACTAGACTAATTTTTTTTTCCTTTTAGAGTTAAGCTGCATCCAGTTCTTGTAGGTATGTATACAGTGGCCTTCTCTGTCTCCCTGTTACAGGTTTTAATTCTGGAGGACTTCTCAAAACCTCTCTCCACTGGTATCCTCATGTGTCTGAGTGATTAGGAACATTGGCTCTAGAGGCAGATAATTTTGGACTTAAATCTCAGGTCTTCCTTTAATTCATTATATAGCCTTGTACAGGTCACTAACCATTCTTTGCTTCAGTTCTCTCATCTGTTAATTGGAAAAGACAATATGTCAGTGCCTACCGCACAGGGTTTTTGTGAAGATGATGTATGAAAATGCATGTAAACTGCTTAAAACTGATTAGAGTATGACAATTGCCATGGAAATGTAGATGCCATTTTTATTTTTTATGTAAGACAAAGAAGGGGGTTAAAAATCGTATATTATCATCTAAATAAAATGCCAAGTGGTTTTAAATACAATAAAACTTTTATTTTTATTGAGAAAATCTTAAATATAAAATACACATAAAACATGATAAGTAATACTTTACTAACCTGACAACCGTCACTATGCCTAGTTGTGAAAACCTAAATGATATCCATTATATTTAGAAACAAAACACACATACATGTTCTGCCCTTTAGTACTCAATGGTTCTAGAACTTGTGGCTGTTACTACAAGATATTGAACACAAGTAGGAATACAATTTCCATAAGAAATAACAACTAGAAAACTCAAGAAAATTAACTGTAACCACTTAACATTAGTAAGAATTCAGTAGAGTGTGTGGATACTAAAAGTAATCAATAAGAAAATATAATGAGAAAAAATTAAAAGCCATCCAAAAACAGTAAAAGCATTGCAAAATCCAAAATATTAAGGAAAAAACTAAAACATCTAGAAACATAAAGGCAATTTTAGTAAGTCCTTAAATGAATCCTGCAAAGATTTTGAGGCAGCTTAGTAACTTTTAGAGGCAACATATCTCAGTGGTGACAGAGCCCCAGATTTCTGAAGATAGATGGACTGAAGTCAAAACTCAGTTCCAACTAAACACTGAGTGATTGTAGCAAATTACATAAAATATCTATGCCTCTTGGATTCTCCGCAAAAAAATGGTGATAATAATAGCACGTGCCTCATAAGGCTGTTGTATGATTTAAGCTGATGAGTTACATCAGTCAACTCAGTGCCTGGCACAAAGCAGACACTCAAAGAGATGTAGCTACAGGTTTTTTTTTTTTTTTCTTGTTTTTGTCGTTATGATTGCCATTGATGTTGTTGCACCAGTTATTTCAGACTTCACGTGTAGGTCCTAAACTGTCCTATGCAAACTCCTACAAGACTTTTCAAGATATAGTACTGAAAATTTTACTAAATATTTCATGAGGTGTTCACTTAAATCTCAAAATCATTGTCTATACCGTAGTTGAAAATCAAATAATAAAAATTTAAATAAAAATAAATTAAATACGTCTCTATACAGAGATTTATAATTGTATACTTACAAAACAGAATTTAAAAATAGATGTGAAGCTAGGAAAAATATTTGCAGCCCAATATGATAGATAAAAAATTAAGTTTCTTCATGACGGTCTCAAATATTCATCAATTTATGCTCTATCTGAATGTAAAAAAATAATTTACACAAGTGACTGGAAAGTACATTCAGTTGTATCAGTTTTACTAACTAGCATAGAAATGAAAATCAATAAGCAGTCCTGTTTCCTTCCTTACAAATTTATTGATGATAATCATGATGACGATGATAAGAAAGCGAAGAAGACTCAATGCAGAAGATGGTGTGATAGCACAGAGCCATTCATCTCCTACTTCTATCAATGAATAGTAAAACAATATTAAATTTCACAATATATGGCAGATAGTTTTAAATGTTCATTCTTTAATTTCACTTCTGAGACTCTATCTTAATCAGAAAGGTAGACAACAAATGTACAAAAATAGGAAATAAAACATTACTTACAAAAGTACAATAATTTAGTCCGAGCGTGGTGGCTCACACCTGTAATCCCTGAACTTTGGGAGGCTGGGGCAGGTGGATCACCTAAGGTCAGGAGTTTGAGGCCAGCCTGGCCAACATGGTGAAACCTCATCTCTACTAAAAATATGAAACTTAGACGGGCATGGTGGCATACACCTGTAGTCTCAAGGAGGCTGAGGCAGGAGAATCGCTTGAACTCAGGAGATGGAGGTTGCAGTTAGCCAAGATTGCACCATTGCACTCCAGCCTGGGCAACAAAGTGAGACTCCATCTCAAAAATAAATAAATAAATAAATAATTTTTTAAAAGTATGATAATTTAAATATTGGGATGTGGTTAAGTAAACTATGGTTTATTCATATTATGAGCTCTCATTGAACCTTTTAAGTTGGTATTTCGATAGTTAAAAATGTTTTTGTCTTATGTTTGTTATAAAAATAAGGCATATTATTATATAATATGATCTCCAATATATAAATATGGCATAAAACAACTAAATATATTAATTATACCTTTTCTGATGTTATTTTATATATTTTTTAAACTTTTCCTTTATGTGTATTTTTATACATTTTTAAGTGTGGAAAGAATAATATAAAATAAAATACTATCTTAACCATTTTTAAGTGTATATTCAGTAGTGTTCAGTATATTCACATTATGGCACAACATATTTCCAGAAATTTTTATTTTGCAAAACTGAGACTCCACGCATTCAACAACTCCCCGGTACTGCCTCCCTGTAGCCCCTGAAAATCACATTTTATTTTCGGTCTCTATGAATTTGACTAATCTGGATAGCTCATATTAGTGAAATCATACAGCATTTGATTTTTTGTGACTGGAATGTTTTACTAAAAATAATGTCCTCGAGGTTCATCCATGTTGTAGAATGTGACAGATTACCTTCCTGTTTTAAGATTGGGTAAGATTCCATTTCTTATTTTGTTTGTCCATTAATACCCTGATGGACATTTGGGTTTTGCGTCTATAAACAAGGGCATGCAGATACCTCTTCCAGACCCTGCTTTCAATTCTCTTGGATATATACCCAGAAGTAAAATGACTAGATCATGCCGTGATTCTATTTTTAATTTTTGGAAGAACTGTCATATTATTCCATAGCAGTTGCACCATTTTACAAGCCCGCTAACAGCACACAAGGGTTCCAGTTTCTCCACATACTCACCGTTTGGTAGTTTCTGGTTTCTGCTTTGCTTTATATTAGCTGTCCTCATACGTTTGAGGTAATACCTCATTGTGGTTTTGATTTACATTTAATGATTCTTCAAGTTATCTTTTCATGTGGTTGTTGGCTCCTTTATGTATGTTTGAACTTGTCAAAATGTTTAGAATTAACATGTACTACTTTTATATCACATAAACATAATTGGTATCAGTTTTATGGTATAGCAAGAGTAAAGAAGCTTCCTTGTTCTGGTCCCTGAAATCCCCATCTGTGAAATAAGCAGGACAGACTAGCTAATAGTCCCATCTGTGAGTTTTTAATAAAGGAAATATTTCCTGATTCCTATCAGTGTTGTAAAGATAGTACTTGCAGTTTCCTAAATTTTGGAATTATTCTGAAAGGAACAGGCGGGTGGGTAAATTAACAATTTGGTGGTGATTTTTCAGCATACATTCTTTTACTTAGTATTTCTAGCGCTCCAACTTTGTGGTAGGCATTGAACCAGGGGCCCAGAATACAAACATAATGCAGTCTGGATTTTGCCTTGTTAAGTTGCAAGTCTATTTGGGGAGGCAGACTTGTACGTAAATAATTACAATAAGTCTTGAAGTTGATATAGTACATGTGTAAATAAGGTTTATTGGTGCTGCAAAGGAAAGGACATCTGCTTCTAAGTTGCTAAAAATATGAAGATTCATCTAATAGTCAGAAAAGGGTCATAATGGTTTTCCCCCAGACCTTGTTGTTTACAAAATCTGTGACATTTAAACTTAGTGAGAAGAAATTTAATATTCACTAGCAAAGACAAAGCAGAATGTCCATGAGCATTTAACCATTATATTTTCTTTTAAACTAACAAATGGCTAACCTGTTTTCTATTCAATCAAATGGTATTTTAGAAATTGTGGTCTACACAAAGGATGTCTCTTGCTGGGCAGAGTAATATAATACATTCTGTGTGGAGTAGGAAACTTTAATGATATATGCAGTTTTGTTATTAAAACTGAGTTATATATTTTGCTCTGCTCTGGAAAATTGTGACCCAGTATAACATATCTTCACATTGTTTATAACTTGAGGAAAATCAACATTTTGGGTTCCCAGTTCACACAGTAGGAATTACATTTGTTTTGGCCAAATATAATTTATATAACTGCAAGGAACAATAAAACATGAACTCTACAGTGTTTTCTTACCTAAAAATAATATAGACCTTGTAAAATGGAAAAGATTATTATTATAAAGAAGAAGACAGTAACTTAAAAGGCTGAAGCTCATTTTACAACACTTTTTAATGCCTGTGCAAATAGGCAGACACCTGTGTCCCCATTTTTCTTGACCCCAGCCACAGGAGTGAGATTCCACACAGTAATAAATAACCTTGCAAGTAAAACTTTGAAATAGAATTTGCTTGATCAAGCCCAGTCCTTCCATGGTCAAAAGTCATTGTCTATGCGACTTCTTAAAATGATTCAGTACTCTTTATTGCTCTGCCTACAAAGATTTTTTGGAGGTGATAGAAGCATCTGGTCCATCTTATTAATATAAGAACCCCAGTTAGTGCAGTTAGTGAAGGGGCCATTATGGATTTAAGAGTTGAAAATGAAATGAATGAGTGAATAAATGGGTATTTCTCATTAAAGTCAACTAGCCTGTTCAGGAATTGACTCTATTACTTCATTATCAAAATAAAACTATGATCCCATTCTCAAAGATATGTGAGTGATAAAATGAGAAAAATATTCAAATTTGTTTTTATGAGATATATGCAAGAGTCACATTGAATGCATATTATAAACCTGTTGAATGCATTATTATTAAATTGCTGATTGCAAAATCAGTCACACAACCAGAAAAAATGGTAACATTTTGGGGGCAAGTACTTGTTCAAGGAACTAGTCCATTGTATCCTATGTAATCCTCTAAAGTCTAAACAATTCCATGGAGTTGGCAAAATAATCACGATTTTAGATGTGAAGAAGCGAAGGCTCATAAATCTTTTGTGATGTGTTCCAAACCACATGGCCAAGTGAGTAGTAGAGGTGACCCCAGACTATGAGTCTTATGATTCTACATACCATGCTTTTTCTACTGCACCACTTGATAATTTACTGGGTGAAAACTACACGCTAGTATCAGTCGCAGCATAATCAGATGGCTGATGGGTCTAACATTCCTACTAGACAACCCCTATCTACTCTTGCTAGTCTTAATTTTCCTCAGTTCAAAACATTTTCACATACAAATTAGGATTTTTCTTCCTAAGATTTTAAATTTTGCTAATTCCAGTGTAATTTTCAACATGTTATTTTAAACCCTATTATCTATTTTAAAATGGAATTTAAATTGCATTCAATATTATTAGTGTTTGTACTTGTATTACTTTTTCTACAGCAATCCATTTTTAATCCTTATTTAGAGAGACATTCCTAAGGCATCCTAAATGACGCTGACTTGCTTCTCATGAGCAGACATGAGTCTATTTTACTTTTAAAAAGTCTGTAGCTTCTCCAGGCGTTGAATCATCTGGCTTGGGGCCAGACACTAGAGGGTGCTTTAGAAATATTATTTGATGATGAACTCGGATGTTAGCCACTTGCTTTTCAGAATTCATTCCTGTAAATCATGGCTTTGAAAACTTGTCAGTATTTTGCTTTTTCTTTTGTGGATTTCTTCAAAGGGAGAAGGAATGTCTGAAAAGTAAATATTCAACAGTCATAACTACATCCCAAGGAGGGTGGAATAAAAAAATTATAGAAATTTGTAGATACATAAATATTTCTGTGAGATAAAAAGAGAACCCCCTGGATAGCTCACAAAGAGCCTACTGGAACTTTATCAGTCGGCAGAGCTTTGTCAGAAGAAAGTGGGTTTGTGAAGGGACAGGAGAACATGTGTTTCTCCCCATTCCAAACCCTCCTTTTCTGGAAGCTTGCTGTAAACAACCACTCACATTTGTATGAGACATTTTGTTTTTTTTTTTAAGAGGGACTTTTACATATATTACCTTAAGGGATATTTACAACAACCTATGTGGTGAGCATTACTATTTTTATTCTATAGATAAAATAAAACAAAAACAAATGACAGGTTTAGTGACAGTAATTCACTCACATAGATCCAGAAAGCAAATTGGCAGAAAAAGAATTTAATTATAGGACTTTATTCTACAATGTGCAGCAACCCCATCCTTCCCTCATATATGGTTGATGTAACTCTATTTCTCCCTTTTCACCTTCAGATTTTGTCACCAATTGTGTCCTTCTCCCCTTTTTATTCTTTTATTTTCTCTTTAATGTCCTCAAAACTTTAAAAAATAAATAAGTAAAATAAAACACACGAAGAAGAAAAACCAGAGGTCATGAAATATGAAAATTTCATGCTTCCCCTGACCTCAAAAAAATAGCATCACCAGCTACTGGAGCAAAAAAAAAAAAAATTCCTCTGAAGACTTACATTTTGAACTCAGCAGTTCACAATTTTTTAAGGCTTATCTGCTCACATATGCTGTGTTTGAAAGACTGGACATTCATTGCATCCAGCTCTTGTCACTGAAGCAGAGCTCTGAGTGAAGCACAGCTGAGACACAAAGTGTGCTCTCAGATTCCAGAGGAGTCAAAGCTCTCACTGGGAAGATTAGAAAAGGCTTCTTAAAAGAAGGGGAAAGAATTCTTTATTCTAGGCCTTGAATGACAACAGGATTTCAAAAGAACTCTTGAAGCTTTGGAAATAGCAAAGCCCCCAAGTCAATGAAGCTCAGAATATATGCAGAAAACAATGAAAATTTAACTTATTGGAGGCTCGCTTGCCTGAGGAAACCACAGGGAGCAGAGCCTGGCAAGCGAGCTTTAAACTGCTTTAGCGCAGATCTAGCTCAGAGCTTTCTGAGCCAGTAGAAATACCAGCATCATCCACCAACAGCAGCCATGGGTCATATGTGGCTATTGGGCACTTGAAAGGTGACTGGTTTGAATAAAAAACTGAAAGTTTAACTTAATTTTAATATTAATGTAAAAGCCAGATGTGGCTAGGGGCTACCATTTTGGGCAGTGCCAATCAAGAGAGACTTGAATTATAGAGTGACAGGTTATTACAGAATTGTAGATCTACCCACAGGAAGTAGACACTGACTGACTGGGGAGAGGAACTGAGATAATTTGGAGAGGCCAAGGTGAGAAAAGTATAAGATAGATTAATTGGAAGTTGGAATCAAAGAAGATGCCAAGGTTGTGACTGATAAATTTGTGAACTGCTGAGTTTAAAATGCAACTTATGCTCATTTAGCTTGTATGACAGATGTTTGTTCTCCACCAAATTTATGAATTTTTCCAATGTCAAAATGATGTCCATTCTTTCTTCTCTCAGTCAACATCCAGAACCCAGCATCATGCCTTACAGAAATATATGTTGTGCATGTGATATTTTCTTACAAACTCAACCATAGCTCTCTGTTAATGTTATAGTTAAATTAAATATCTAAGATGGATGAGAGCGACAAGAGTTGGATGTAGTGGATGTTCATTTAAACACAATATATGTAAGTAGGTAAGCCTTAAAAATGTATTTTTTTCTATATGTGTGTAAATGTGTGTGTGAGTGTGTGTGTGTGCGTGTGTGTGCAGGTGTGTACTGGTTTATTCTCCCTCAAATTTTTATCTCCAAAGCACTTGGAATTAAAATACATTATCTGTATTATTTTAAACCCATGAGAAACAATGTTCTTATTTCAGCTTCATTTCTTAATTATGGATAAAATATTCTGTAAAGTTAGCCAGTGTCCACTCCTTCATTCAATAAGCTAAAACGATTGTTAAAATAAAAACAGAAAATTTGACTTCTCCAACTGTAAGTATTTGATTACCCAAAGGCTTGGGATCAAAATATCAAAATCACAAGTAAAATCTCACATTAAACTTGGTTAAAAAATTATTTTCCTACAGTATTTTGCATAAGAGCATAGAAAAAGAATAAAACAACAGCAGCAACAGCAATGAAACTTCTCATCTCCAATGCAACCATTCTAATCACTAATATCTTTGTATCCACAAATGGACTCATCACTTGGGTGACTTCTCAAATAAATCTTAAATTGTTTTTGGCTCAGTAAATCCTCATATGAAGACATTCTGGGGGTGACTAGGCACCAAATAGCCTTCCATAAAATGTGTTATGGGCCAATATTCACTCAGTGACCTGGCTTCTCTTCTATGTGCTCATATGACATGAGCAAATGCACAGGCAGAGTTTCAAGAAAAAACATCGAGAAGTTAGTTTTCCCTTCGCATTCATTCAAATGATGCCTGGGCTAACCATGTTTGATGAAGACAGGGTGGATTTATCCAGTTCTTCAGGCAAGGGCTATGTGTATTCTATCTCTCTAAAAGTCTCATTTTGGAGAATCCTCAATTCATCAATAACTCCTGCAGCTATTACCAAAACCTTCCCCCTCCTTTTTTTAAACCTGAAAAGAAAGTGAAGCCCAACTGGTGGGGGTTATCAGGTTATCTGGAAGACGAAACTATGGAGATTTGTATTCTTATGCATTTTTTGTCTCACAACAATGGAAATCCTTGAACTTCCAGAGATATTATGTTCTAACATCTTAATCCTCTTAAAAACTAATTTGCATTATCTAACACTTACTTGAAATGTTGGGAGCAGAACTTTGGAAAGGGTTTTAGGTCTGGATCTTCCATTTTAACTTTATTGTGTTTTTAAGACCCATTTTTGAGTTTTCTTACACACACATACTGCTCCCACATTTTTCTACATATATATTTGAATATAGGCAATTAGCCATATAAACTCAGGAAAATAAAGCAGTTATCGATATTAGTATATTCATGAATTATCCCTTCATTCACAGAATCCTAAAATCTTAAAATTAAAATTGACCTTAAAGGAAGCTACCTTAAACCACTCTTACAAACTACTGTACTATTACAAGTATTGAATGCCTGGGATCAGAAATGGGAAGAATGCTTCCTTTTTCATGTTTTGCTCCTTTTATTTTTTTTCCAAATGTCCAAGTAGCCAAGTCTCTGGTATGTATCAGAGGAACAGTCAATTTTCAGAGTGAAGTCAAGTGAAAAGTATGCAGATGGCAGTGTAAATGTTAGGAAAGTTTGGGGAGAAATATGCCAACTATGTGCTGTTTTGTTACAGTAACTATAGAATCGTCTCTCCAATGCCACGGACAAGACCCTTGCCAAATGGAATACCCTATTTATAACCCTATCGGGAAGAGGAAATCGTGCCAGGAACAAGATAAAACTATTATCTGTATTAAGAAAAATACTTAGAAGCATGTTTGTATTTGAAAATAAATGTTAGTGGTTAAGAAAAAAAATAATGGTAGTTGTAGATCTGGGTGTTGAAACCTGTTGCAAGACTATTAATTAGTCATCATCTTATCTTCACTGCCATGTCTCTGCCAACTTACCTGTTTGAAGTCACAAATGGAGCTCATAAATGGGTTCTTTGGGAGATATGTAGAAAATAAACAATTTCCCCCACTGGGCAGATAGTTAAGAAATCTCCCCGGGCTCATATGTTTTCCTCCTGTTGGCACTGTTGACTCAGTGCCCATGTGGGATGTACTCCCAAACTGTCCTGCTGCTGGCAATGTTTTCAGTGCCAAGTATTTAGCCTGCAGTCCCAGAGGCAACAAAAAAATAGCCAAGTCCAAGGGAGTGCCATGAGCATATGGACCCTGGTCACAAGAGTGTCACACTGGGAGGGGCTTGGACATATGCCATGGGCTGCATCAGGACATATGCCATGGGCTGCCACCCCAAATAATTCCCTCTTCCCCAGGACCCAGTGGAACAGCTTGTTGAATAAACAAGAGACTGAAAGAGTGGTTGAACTGGCACCAGGCCAGTGTCCCTTGCCTTACCCACTGAATCAATGAAAACTTGGCATATACTACATTTTCAAGGAGCAGGGAAGCATGAAGGCATAATCTCTTTGTCCCTCCTGTGTTTTGTCACTTTGTCTTTTCTCCACCTACTTATCTGACTTGGTAGAATACAAACACTATATCATTTGGAATAAGACAAAATAAGGGTTGATTCCTGGCTCTTTTGCTAGCTCTGTGCCCCTAAAGGAAAAACAAAAAAAAAAGAATATTTAACTGATATATGCCTCAATTTCTTTTCAGTGAATGGTACCTACCTTGCTGGTTTGTGGGAAGGTTTAAAAAGGTGATATGTAAAGTGCTTTGCACTGTTTCTAGCACATGGTAGGCAATAAATGTGAACTTGTGTATGGCCAGATGCACACATTAAACTCTGGATAGTCCAGTTAATTACTCCATAATATTATTAGTTAATAATCAAATTTATTGATTGAGTTATATTGTAATATAGAATATTGTCCTCTAAGGATATAGTTATTAAAATAAATAAATATGTCCTCTAAGGATATATTTATTAAAATAAATATAAAATAATCTAATCGTTAACCCTCTATCAAAATTTCTGATAATACTGTAATTATACACAATTATTAAAGACATAATTTCCATGTATTATATATCATGTATTGTGTATTTTATACAAACACATTACATATATCACAATATTATGTATTATATGTTTTATATGTCATGTTATATTATGGCCTGTATTACATATTATGGATTTGTATGCCTCACGTATATGTCACATACATATCACATTTAATATATTGTATATGTATTTGTACTATTATCAATTTATGTTTATATCAATTACAAATTGTGATATGTAGGCTTATCATTACATGTAAATCACTTAAAAAACTATAAACATATGATTAATATACCATCTATTAGGGGCTTATTTGTCATACAGATAATTAGATATAATTATTTAAAATAATGTAATTTTTACTATTATATATGCTATTTATATAAATATAGGTGTAAACATGCACACACAAATTTAGTTATTTAATGATCTTTGGTGTGCTTAAGCCACAATTCCCCTGGTTTAGAATTATCACAAGGGAAGAAAGTGAAATGTCATGGGAAAACCATGTGTCTGAATGAGAAAAGTTTCAATCGAGGTCCTGACAGGTGTGTGACCCTGGCCATGCCATTCACCCTCTGTGAATCGTTATTTTCTTACTCTAGTAAAAAGAGGAGGGAAAATTTACAGATTTAAATTGAAATAATATACGAAAATATTAAAATAATCTAATTGTGTCTGCAGCACAATTGTTAGTTCATAATTAATCAATAAGTGGTAGATGTCTTTATTATCAAAAGCTAATTATCATTGTTGTTTTCATGGAAGTCTCAGAAATAACATCTGAAAAGCAGCCATTCACTTACTGAGGATTTCTACATGCAGAGTCGGCTACTGCGATTTCTGTTTTGCTTGGGCCTCATTTGGAGAACAGGGTCGGTTGTTCTCACTTTCTAGTGGTTGGAGAATATTCAAACTGATATCCCTTGTGGGGTAAGATCTTGGGGACAAATATTTCTTCTATTTCAAGGTTTCTTAAATTTCACATGTGATTTTAAAAAGCAAATAAGCCCCTTAATTGCTTCATTAAGCTAGTCAACACTAATTAAGAAAAGTCAAGTGGAAAAATATTAGAAACTGCTGTGCCTGACTTTAAGCCTCCTCTCTTTCTCCCAGAATATGTTTTGCTTTGCTGAGGAAAGGGAGTTTGTGATTTTCTGTGATAGAATCCACTCTGACCTCCTGGGTTCTGAGCTTGAAATTGAGCTTCAGTCTTTGGGGGTTGATCCTGTTTATTACTGATGAAACATGATTTCCCAACCCCATGAAAAAATGCCTAAGTGCCTTGTAAAGTAGCACAGGGGGTAACCCAAACTATTTTGATGAGTTAGAATTCAACAAGCTTGAAACATCAGTTTCTTCTCCTTTGATACAGCATAGGAGCTTAAGAACAGTGGGCAAGGGAGGTAGCTCAGTCTTGGAGTGGGAGCTCCATATGTGAATATGTGCATGTATGCATGTGTGTCTGCACCTTTGCGTTTGTGCACCTCTGTGCACATATGCGGTGTTGGGTATGCGGTAGGGAGCTTCTACTTGTCTGTAAGACAAATAGGTCCTGAATTCAGCCTTTTGCTCTTCTCCAAACTTTGGAGCAGTTATTTCTCTTAGTTCTGCTGAAGCTCATAAGAAAAGTGAGTTTTGTTATAGATTTTCCTAGAACTGACTAGGCCATATGTCTGGTTATATCAGCTCCTTTGGAATCTCTCAGATCTAGAGAAAATGATGAAGTAATTCCAGTAACCTGCCTTAACTCTCCTTTATTGTAGTAAATAGCTTCTATATATTGAGCACTTACTGTGTACCAAATGTTGTTTAGATATTTTATAACCATGGCCACATGTAATTCTCAGGGTAACTCCTCAAGATGCATATTATTATCTCTATTTAATTGATAAAGATATCAAGGCTAAGAGAAATAAATGGCTTATAGCCCCAGAGTTGGTAAGTTGTTGAGCAGGGATTAAAACCCCAAGATGCCTCCTGCAAACTCAGTCTGATTTCCTCTTTACCCCATTATTGAAAAGTCTCTCTTACTGTAATCCTCTGGGTCATATCAGAATCTTTCCTGGTCCCAGATGAGAAAAACTCAAATTCCTCTTCACTCTAAAAACACTGCTTGGTACAGTGTCTCTGCTAAGCCTGCTCAGCATGCAAACACCCCCTGAAGCTCCATGGTTGGCTTTACCCACAGCCTTCAGGAGCTCAGCACATGTCAAGCCCTTCAGAGGATTTTGGGCTGCTTAAGGGAATCTTCTGGATAAGCAAGAAATGTGGAGGACTTTGGGATTTGAGTCAGAAGGAATTTTGCCCATATTGACACTTGTGCTGGGGAGACCAGACCTGAGTTATTTAGGGTGATAGGTGATCTCCCTTTGGGGTGTCAGCTCCTGTGGATGGCCTTTCTCATCGACTATGGATGAGTGAAAAGGATAAGAACCTTGCCATCATCAGAATAAACTCAACAGAGACAAAACCATAAGACTCAGTCTATTTTGCAGGCATTGAAGCATGCTGTGACACTGTCATGCCAGACCCCTAATAACTTCAGTAGGGATGGCACTGGGTTCAAGAGGCTAGAGAAGAGACCTACAGCCAGCAAAAGAGGCCTATGGTTTTATTTGGGTGAACTTACATACAGGGATGGTCCAGTGGTGGCAGGCTGGACAGGAGAACCACAACTGCTGGCAAAAAAAAAAAAAAAATGCAGTTTATATAACATCCTCACTTAGCACCCTCTCCTCAGCAACCTCCACATGAGCACCCTCATTTCTTAAATAATTGTTGTCAGGTCCGTCTGCTATATGGGGTTATTCTCAGGGTAGACTTAAGTTATTGCTGTCAGGTGTGTCGACCATACAGGCACCAATTGCATGGGCTCATTTGAGGGATAAAAGCTCAGTATGTCTTGAATGAGGAAAAAGTGTAGAAGCCCTTGTTGGATGTATTGAGGAATCCCATTGATAGGCTCCAAAAGGGTTCCATTAACTCAGCACTGACCAGTCCTATGAGATTGTGAGTGTTCAGTCGGCTTGGTGAGGGATGGCAGTGGGCATCTTCTGCCTGTGGTGGGCATGCTTGTGGGGGTTGAGAGACCTGCCATCCATTAGACTCTTGTGTACTGAAGAGCTACCTCAGTTTCCTTTTGGCCCAGGACTAGCAGGCAAGACAATTCTAGATTTCTCTCATAATGGGTCTGAGCCAGTGGATAGTTCCCTTGCCTTGGACTGAGCAGGATGAAGTCTGCAGGGATGGGGTGGGAGCAGCGGCTGTAGCTCTGATGCTTCAGACACATGTACATTCTTATGAAAACAAATGATCTTTAGCCAGGAACTGAACACAGATAAACTAAGGCACAAAGTGTGCACAATTAAAAAGACCACAACTTTTGTGAAAATGCTGACTTTAATTAAAATAAGCAAATAAAGGAACAAACAACCCTTACATATTTCCTTCAATTTCTCAGTGTTCTGGAGATTCAGAGCAAGTGATTATGAGGCTAAAAAATTGTATCAGGTAGTTATCAAATAATTCCCATCAAGAATATGAGCTAGCATCATGAGATTCTTTCCCAACATCTTTAATGAGAGTAGAATGAGGTCTTTGTAACAACAAACAGCTTTTGATATTTCTGTGGGGGGCTATTGCTCTAACTGCTCACAAATCAAGGACGAGAAATCAAGTTTAAGTAAGAAGAACGTGTGATGAATGTTTGGGGAATTGAAGCATGCAACACAAATGAGCCTAAGGATACAGGTGTGAGAGGCTGTTGCAACCTAGGTCATAGTTCAGAAGGTGATCTATCCCAGAGCCCCTGCCAGTCAGATAAAGAATCCAGGCAAGCACAAGGCAGGATATTAATACTCCCAGATAAATGAGCTGAGAACTGTGGTCCTGGGGGGCCTGAGACACTTAACAAAGTAGGGGTTCATGACTAAGAAAAATACAAGGCCAGATCCCAGTTCTAGTGACAAGGTCAGAGAGAGTGGAGATGTCAGCAGAGTGACCTGGAGAGTACTAAGCCTCAGACCTCACTGTGTCAAAAAGTGATTAGAATCTAATGAGAGTGCCTGGGTATCAAACCCAGTCAATGGATACTAACAAGGGTTCATGATAGTCTGAGCTCCACTGAACTTCACTCTTCCCAAAGATTGAAGTGGTGGAAAGCTCCTGATAACTTTGCCAAGAGCAGAAATGGTGTGAGTCCTGGGTACCCTTAGGCTTCCTGGAAGCTCAGAGGATTGAGCCTTAAGAATATGAAGAGGAGAATGGTGTGAACCCGGGAAGCGGAGCTTGCAGTGAGCCGAGATTGCGCCACTGCAGTCCGCAGTCCGGCCTGGGCGACAGAGCGAGACTCTGTCTCAAAAAAAAAATAAAAATAAAATAAAATAAAATAAAATAAAAAAGAATATGAAGAGGGGGCCAGGCACAGTGGCTCACGCCTGTAATCCCAACACTTTGGGAGCCCAAGTGGGCAGATAACGAGATCAGGGGTTCAAGACCAGCCTGACCAACATGGTGAAACCCTGTCTCTACTAAAAATACAAAAATTAGCCGGGAGTGGTGGCACGTGCCTATTGTCCCAGCTACTCAGGAGGCTGAGGCAAGAGAATCGCTTGAACCCTGGAGGCGGAGGTTGCAGTGAGCTGAGATTGCGCCACTGCACTCCAGCCTGGGTGACAGAGCAAGACTCCACCTCAAAAAAAAAAAAAAAAAAAAATATGAAGAGGGTGGAAGATTTCGTATGTTAACACTCTGGAAAGTCATCACTCCCAGATTCTTTCCATGGAGGCTCTCTCGAAAGCAGAATGACCCCCATTCTAGAAGCAGAAGGTGAATATGGCAAAGGCCTGTGGAGGAGCTAGTGTGAAAGGAACTGACATGAGGACAGCTACCAACTGGAGTGAGAAAGTCAGGTCTCAGCTACAAGAGCACTAGCTGGGCAAGCGAGACCGGTAGGGCCTTCATCAGAAATGCCACCTATTTTGACATTTTGAGTCCAAAAATGTTCCTATGTACTACACTGAAGTGTGTCCCTGAAGGTGGCCCCAGAAATGGCCCAGATGAAGTCCTGGGAAGGCCGTGGAGGTCATCCTCTTTTGTTTCCTTCTTCAACTTGGTCCAATTACCTTGCTCTCCATTGAATTTCAAATTAGACCTTGTGTCTTCACACCTCAAGCCTTTACCCTAAGCCTTCTCTTTGCCTGGAATGACCTCTTTCCTCTCACATCATTCAATTTCCATCCCACCTTTGAAATAAAGCCTACCTTTCTTGCTATTGTGATTACTTTAGCTTGCAGTGACTTCTCCTGGCTCTAATATCTGAATCTTGTATTCAATAATCATTCTTTAGTAGGTTTTCCTTAGAAAGCCCACTGGACAAAAGTCAGATTCATATTAAACTACAGACTAAAGAGCAGGAAGAGCCCCTAGAGATCCCCTAGCCCTACTATTTCTGTTTAGGTGAGCAGGCAAAAATGTAGAAGGAAGTAGTGATTTCCTTAAAGTTACAAGAGAGTCAAAAGCAGAGAATGCATAAATCCATGTCTACTGACTCTCAATCTGGAATGTCTTCCATGCATTTTTTTAAATTTCTTTTATGCCTAAGTAGTTTAACTTGAGATGAAAATGCAATAAGAATCACATTTCCACAGAAGTGATAAGAAATTGATCAGGGCTCCTTTCTGATGTTTCAGCATGCTATGAGTCTCACGGAAGGTCCCTGTTTTTGCACCTCAGGGTGAATCATGGATTTCTGAATGGGCAGGAGGAAACTGAGGCTAAGTGAGGCTACCTCTGGAATCACTGGAAGTCCTCCCAGGAGGGAAGAGAAAGAGACCTATGACATCAACCTTGAGCTTTCCTTCTTTGTTCCTTTTATGGCCTTCCTCACTTTATGTGAGTTCTGGGATATGAAAGTGCTCAGGGGTAGGGAAAGCTGTAAATCCCCAGGGCCTTGCACTATAAACTTCATTTCCTCCCTTTATTGCAGTTAACTGCCCATGAACTCTATTAATATTTTGCAAATTGAGATCCCTAAAACACATGTTACTGTTAATTTTAACCTCATGCTAACTAGGATGTGGTCAAATTTTCACAACAAATTCCAAGGATATTTTGATATGCCTTGGAAAAATGCATTTAAAGGTGCCTCGGGGGTATATACTTTTTCTAAGTCTACACATTTTCTTTCAATTCTTGCTGTTTAGGAACAGGCAGAAGTAAACTGTCTTATGTGAGGAGGAGCAATAATACAAAGTGATTCAGTTATGATACGGGAGTGACAGAAGCCTCTAACAGACCAAGAGGGACAGTCAAGGAACATCAACTTTCTGAACTTACCATAGTAAAAATCTGATGTCAACAAAACTGTTACACACTTTTGCGTACAGGATCAATTTACTTAGAAACACTTCACCGTTCTATAAACACAATTCTTCCCTTAGGCAAAAGCCATGGGTTTTATAAATTTAATGAGACAAAAATGAATTTTTCCCACCTCCAGGATACCAAATACATTATCACAGAATAGTATCACAAGTGTGACCTCTAAATCTGATGAGCCAGAAGTAAGAAACTCCTTCCTTCCTTCTTTACTTCCTTCCTCCCTCCCTCCTTTCCTTCCTTCCTCCCCTCCTTCCTTCCTCCCTCCCTGTCTCCCTCCCTCCCTCCTTTCCTTTCGTTCCTTCCTTCTTTCCTTCCTTCCTTCCCTCCCTCCTTCCTTTCCTTCCTTCCTTCCCTCCTTCCCTCCTTCTTTCCTTCCTTCCTTCCCTCTCTCCCTCCTTCCTTTCCTTCCTTCTTTCCTCCCTTCCTTCCTTCCCTCCCTCCCTTCCTTCGTTCTTTCCTTCCCTCCCTCCCTCCCTTCTCTCTCTCTCTCCCTACCACTCTGCTGCCTCCTTGCTTCCCTCTCTTCCCCTCCTCTCACCTCTCCTTCCCTACCTTTACTTCCCTACCTTTTCTTCTTTCCTGCCTTCCTTTCTCCCTTTCTTCCTTCTATTTACTCATCAAATATTTTCTGAGTACCCATGTTGCCAGGAATTGCTCTAGCCATTGCAGATTCACTGATAAACATATCCCCGGAAAACATTAATCAATGATTTCACCTCTGAGATGGGTACTCTTCCCCAAGAACATCAATCTATTCATGGCATGCATCTTACAGAAAGACAGGAGAAAATGTCCAGCTATAGAAAATAAAGCAGTGGCCATTCTATGAATCATTGAGTCGACAAACTTCTGCTTTTTTAGTTTGTTTCCCCAAATGATTCTCCACTTTCTCTCAATCATAATGGTAAGTTGAAGTTCACCCAAATCCTTATTGCCTCAAATAAGGAGATGGTGTGGTATAGTGACATCATTTTTGTCCTCACAACCAATTATTCTGGGAAAGATGAGGGAGTGCAGAGCCATTGGAGAGAAGGACATCCCCCTTCCTCTGCCTCCTGCCCTTCTACAATGCCAAGTCACACCTGGACCTAAAGGGGAGACACTCCTCTTCCATATATGTACAATTGATCTTACTCTTCAACTTCCATTGCTTTCACTCCAATTATTTCTTACCCTTGATTCTAATATAGGTGGTAGCATTCTCAATACCTAAGTGCCAACTTCTCTCAATACATTCAATAGGAATTCAATTATTTAGGGAGTAGAGCATCTCCTGAGGAAAAAGTAAATATTCTTCCTACCCTTCCCTACCCTCTTTGTGAAATAACCATGCTTTCTCCTTATGATCAGGGTATATTACAACTGCCAGTGCATGAACTATTTTCTTTGCCGGCTGGTCTACTGGTACAGTGGGCCCAAATTGATCAGCAGTGGTCATAGCTTTAAGTTAATGAGTCCTGTATCTCCTGGTAGAAACAGCTCTCAGAATCTAAGGTTTCAGGAACAAAAAACAGAAATCTCCCAAGTAGGTCACTGGGAGTAATGGTGAGTCCAGCCCCAAGAGTTCCGCCAGAGGAATCAATAATAATAATTCATTCTTCTTTTGAGAAAGCCAAGATCCCATCTTGTACCCTCAGCCCAGTGATTTCCTGGGCAACAGATACCCCAGCCCCACAGAAGGGCTGCTGAGGGCTGCTGCAGGGCTGGCTGAGATGCACATGAAGCTCTGCCCGAGAAAGAGAGAGAGAGAGAGATCCTTGAGAGTCCACAGCTGTGTGGGGATCTGGGCTTTGAGCCCCCTCAGCTGAAGTCAGCAGCCCCCGGAGTGTCTCAAACCTGCTGCTGGCCTCAAAGCTCAACTTGCTTGGCCAAGGCCCCATATCACTGTAGGACATCCAGGGCTTCAAAGGAGGGCCCCTCAGAGCAGCCTCCTCCTCCAAAACACTTCTTGCCAAAGCACAGCTGAAGCAGGCTTGAAGCTAAATATTTGGATTGAAAGGGAGGGAGAATGCAGCCCCTCTGAGGGGTATTTTACCCAAGCCATTGGGAGAGAACCACCTCCCAGCGCAGGCATGCTGAGCCCCACAGCATTGAAAAGCACTGTAATCGCTGTGCAATCAGCTGTACCATGTGCCTGCAAACCTTGCAGAAACACAGGCCCTGCAATGTACACAGTGATTCCCAGTCTGCTTCCTTCATCTCATTTCACCCTCTTCATGACCTTCAGAAGCTGCAGGATGCAATGGCTCTCTTCTTTGTATATGCAAAAATTGAGCATCTCCACAATGGAAAAATGACCTTCTCAATGTTGAATACGAAACAAGGGCTTAAGACTGGACTCTAAGTTGGGCCTTCTGAAGGCAGGATTGACGCCTTCCTTATCAATCCAGGGTTTCTGTTGAATAATAATAATGCCAAACATCAGTACACAATGCTGTAGGGAGGTAGACAGAGCATGGTTTTTGGAGAGAAAAGAACAGAGCTGAAGGTTCCATTCCAGCCTTTGTCAGTTCTGTGACCCCAGGCCTGTCATGGTTGACCTTATTGAGCCGCAATGTCATCTGGAAAGTGGACACAATAATGAGATTCCTCCCTACTCCCATCACTCGACTGCACTGGGGGTCACCTGAGCCAGTGTGCATTTAAAAAGTCCTTTCCACCTGCATGTGCTGTGAACCTGGGAATGATGGTAATGGTGATTATGCCAAAGAAATGAACATCACAGCCTGAAAGAAACTGGGGGCAGAAGAGATCTTCGACATCTTGCCTAGCCCCTTCATTTTATACATGTAAAAACTAGTTTGTCTAAGTCAACCTAGGAAAATAGTAGCAAAGCCAAGCTTAGACCTCCAAGACCTGTCCTGTATCATTACCCTTCTTTTTTTTCTTCATGTTCCCGAACACTTAACAAGCACATTTATTCTCTGAGGGAGTAGATAGGAGAGATGATATGTCCCAAGTTTATGGGTGAGGAAATTATGACACAAGGGTTACAAGAATTACATCAAATGGCATGATGAGTAAGGAGTGGCCTGGGTTTCACTCTTAATTTGGCCAAAGTAATTTTATTTCAAAATGAAAAACAAAAACAAAACCACTACACTCACACCAAACATTTGCCATCCAAACTGGTCAAAGGGCTGCGTTTATACAGCTCTCCAACCATTGCAGGGATCCCTTTTACAACATCCCCGTCACTTGGGCAGCTCACCTTTGCTTAATGAACTCCTGTGTGGTCCTCATCAGACAAATAATTTCATCATTAAATAATCTTTATTTCAAGCAAATATTTACCAATTGCTTGCTATATGCAGGGGACTAGAAGTATTGATGGCTAGAAAGCTCTCCCACGTGCTGGAGCAAAATCTGCCTCTCCCTCACTAGTAGTCATTTCACCCTCCGACTTTACTACAATGGTCCCGTATGACTTTGCTATAGAATTTGACGATGCTAACCATTCCCTTCTTCCTAATGCTCTCTCCTTCCTTGTGTCCTGGTAATCAGGCTCCATATTCTATACCTCTGATTCTTTTTAGTCTCTTTCACTGGCTACCCTTCTTCTCTCTTAGTTCATAAATATCAGCATTCTGGACAGGACTGATTCACAGTCTCAGAGACATGACTCCCAAATATAAATCTGCCCAGACCTCTTTACTGAGCTGCAGACCTGTACATCAAACAGCTGTAAGACATCTCCATTTTGATGTCCCACAGGCATCTCAAATTTGGCATGTCTAAAATGGAACTTCCATCCTCTAATCCCCTAGAAACCTCCTCTCTCCTGTATGCTCTTTCTCTCTATCCTGTATACTCTATTATTCCCCATTTGAGCCAAAAACCTAGACGTCGTCTTTATTCCCCCCTTGCCTTAGCGCACCTCCTAACTCCTTAGATCTACACCACACCACCTCTTGAACCTGCCCTTTCTTCCACACCCACTCCTATTGGTTTAGGTTGGACTCCATTTTAGTTCTCCTATAGTATACAACAGCCTTCCAGTTTCCACTGTGGATTCCTTGTAATTAACTCAACACAATAGCACTAAAGTGTTCTCTCTAAAATGTGATACATTTGGTCACGCTTTCCCCACTAAAAACCAGCCAATGGTGCTCCTCCATCAAAGGATAATGTCCTGATTTTATATGATGGGCTAAGGAGTCCCTAATGATCCAACCCCTGCCTACTTTCCAGGCTCATTTCCATTTGCTTCCTGCAAAGTTCTCTGAGGTCCTCTCACAGTAAAGTCTAGGTATTTCCTTAAACATGCTGTGCTTTCTCTGGCCTCTGGTCCTTATCAAAGTCTTTTTTAACTCCCAGATGTTCTTCCCTTCAAAGGATACATTTGATTATTTCCTGCTATCTTTGTGATGCCTTCCCTATCCCCAGCTAGGTAGAGCTGGTCTCTTTCCATGACATACCTTGGCCATAGAATAATCTTATATAACATAGCTGGTTGCTGTGTGTCCCTTTACCTCACAGTGAGCATCTAGATAGTGCATACTCCTTTTTATTGGTTTCTGTATTCTACTGCTTAACACAGGCCTGGAATACAGTAGGTGCTCTGAAGTTTTTTGCTAAATTAAATAAATGAATGTATGGATATTTTCATTTCATGCATCTGCACTATTTCACCTTCTCAAGCTTGCCCTAAAGTGGTTTGCTATGACATTTTTTATAGTCATCCAGCCAGCTGAACCAGATTTTTATCATTTAAGTGTAACTAGAAAAATCTTTCTATTTACAGCAAGCAATTCAGTGGAGACTTGAGTGACCCAAAGAAACTGGAAGACAACTAAACTTTTAAGTAGGGTGTTATCTCCTCTTCACTAATTCCTACTCCCCAGCATGTCATGTCTGAAAGGGGACTGTTGCCCTGCCTTTGTATCCCTACTACAACCCTAGAAAAATAATGGCTGCAAAGGGACATTCACTTTCCATGGCTTCCCTTCTTTTTCCTGACAATTCCTTTTCTCTATGTCACCAAAGTCATCATTAGTGAGTATTGCCTGTTTGCTTGAGCTGTTTTTGTTTTTTTTGTTGCCATTTACGATCTCAGATTTATTTCCAACTAAATTATGATCAGCTTAAGATTGGAAGAAGAAGATGTTTTTCTACATTATTCTGTCCTCTGGCCTACAGCAACATTCAGAAGGTGTGCCAAGAAAAAAAAAAGTTTGCATTGGATTTGGTTTAGTTTTGGTCGAGTTCTAGCTAGATTCTTGTTATGATGTTCCTGTTATACCTGCTGACCTACTGTGTGGTTAAATGTCATAATGTAAAACATTAAGCAACATTTTTTTTCTCCTTCTATTTACCCCTCATCAACTTTTACAGTTAAGACCATTCATCACAGGGACTATTTCTCATGGTGGGATCAGAGAGCAGAGGAGACAATTCTTATCTGTTAAATTTTAAAACATTGATGTTAAAAGACAGAGAGAGGTACAAAGCAAATGTGTTTGTAAGAATTCAGATCTCCTGTCCTCTCCACTTAACCCCAGACAATCTGGACACCCACAAACTGGGGAGGAAAGAAGGATTAGAGAAAGTCACTGGATTAGATATTGGCCTATGACCTGCCTTCCACCCTGAGTAAGCTCCCGGGAAAAGAGAGACACAGAAACTCCCCATATCAGTCTGAGCATTTCATGGCCATCTTCACCTTCCTCCCAGAAAAAAAAATGGTGCATAGCTGAAAAGAAAGCAAGGGTTGGAGAGAAGCTTTGGATAGCATATGATGCCTGAGCAGGCACAGCGGCTCTGTGAGGCACACAAGTCAGCGAGCAGCCTCCCCAGGCTCTGCGGGTCCTGGGTGGCATGGAGAGAGGAGCTAGGATCTAATTTTCTGTGTTCCAAGAGGGAGTGGGAGCCAAGGGCTGTGTGCTTCAGTGACGTAGATTAGATGGCTGGTCACATAGCAAAACGTGGGCTGGCCTTGCTGCCACTGATAGGAGCTCAGGCCCCCTCTCTGTGGGCCAATATTAGGAAGGTGCATGCATCTAACAATGATAAAGCAACAATATTCCAATATGGTACCACAGGACCTAGACCAAGATGGAGATGAGTCGACCTCTCCCACCACCAAAACAAGGTTGTAGTTGCATAAGTCTCTGACTTTCCCACTTATTCCCACCCTCCCCCGTGCACTGCTCTGCATCTCACACCAGAGCTACCATTTCGTCTCAACACTAGGGAGAATGATAATGAAGGAAAAATAGTCTTGCTGAGGAATAAATTTTCAACCTGAAGTGCTCCCCCTAACCAAAACAACAACAATAAAAAACTGAATTTGATCAAGTTTCTTCTATAATGTAAAGATTTATGTTTTACTGAAGAAGTCAAATTGTGGACAAAAAATTCAAAATTATATTGATAACTTGTAGAATATAACGATGGCAATAGTTTGCACACCTAAACTTGTAATTATGAAGTTCATATATTTTACATACAAATGGAAGATTAGGTGGGACAACCAGTATGGGTCTGAAATTCTTACAGTGAATCTCCTTTCTCTGCAGCAAAACTTCCCAACCACTCAAATTTAAGTCTGGATTCATTTTTGACCCCATTCCTCCATGACCTACATTAGTTAACCACCAAACCCTGGTAATTTCACCCACACAGTATATTTCTATACTTCCTGTCTACTTCATCCCTACTGTCACTCAGTTGGGTCAAGCCTTTGTCATTTCTTAATATTAAAATATTTTAAGTTGGTCTCGTTGCTTCTAGTCTTCCCCTGACCCTGCACTTATTTCCAGAATAACTTAAGAAAGGAATGATATGGTTCCAGAACTCCACATAACACTCTCCAGCATCCACAGATTTAATTTCAATCTCCTTCACCTGACACTGAAGTCCACCCATAGTGAGGCACTCTACGAATGGGGAAGACACATTGCCTGACACAAAGCACAGGTGTTAAGAGCTCAGCTTTGCAGTCAGACGTCTCTGGCTGTGTGAATTTAACACCATTTAACCTCATTAAGTCTCAATATTCATATATAAAGTGGGGAAAACAGTTCATGTGATCACAGAGATGATGGTGATCTCATGTCTAGCATAGGGTCCAACACCTTAGTAAGTGTTCCACAATTTTCCTATTGATCAAAAGTATGTATTACTCCATTGCTGGCCAATACAAATCAGCTTTCATTATGGCTCCATGGCATGGCCTAACCCCCTCTCACACCCACCTCTCCCTCAGTATCCCTCCCTGGGCAGCAGAATCAGATTCCACGTGCTTCATTATGTTTATGCTGACAACTTGGCCAAGATTGTCCATCAACACAGAACACTTTGAGCATAACATTTTTATCTCTTGACTTTGACCCTGAAGTCTTCGAATAAAATTATTTCCTTCCGAATTTTGTCAACACTGTTGAATTTCCATTGAAGAAACATTTTCTTGAGTGAAATCCAAGCTGATTAAATTATTAATCTGTATATTCCATTTTTATCTGCATTTTAAATTATTTTCAACTGATCAGTTAATTATCTCTAAGTAATACAATTAGGGTGTATCTATTTTTTGTCAATAACAAACATCATGTATCATTTCTAAAATCATGGATTTTTTGTGGTTACTATTTCCATTATTGCCAGTTTTCCTGGGTTGTATTTCATAGCCTACTTGATTCTTCTCTTATCAACAGATTTTTATCAACTCTATATTTGTATCCTTTGTCAGTTTTGTGTTTTGATTACTATTTGTACTGGTAATATGTTTACACATTGGAGAAGATCCTGTGGATGTTTTTTTGTTTTTTTGTTTTTTTTGTTTTTTTGAAACAGTCTCGCTCTGTCACCCAGTCTGGAGTGCAGTGGCGGCGATCTCCGCTCACTGCAAGCTCCGCCTCCCAGGTTCATGCCATTCTCCTGCCTCAGCCTCCCCAGTAGCTGGGACTACAGGCACCCACCACCACGCCCAGCTAATTTTTTATATTTTTAGTAGAGACGGGGTTTCACCTTGTTAGCCAGGATGGTCTCGATTTCCTGACCTCGTGATCCACCCACCCTGACCTCCCAAAGTGCCGGGATTACAGGCGTAAGCCACCGCGCCCGATTGGATGTTTATTTTTTAGATAATCCATAGAAAAGTAAATGAGGGCAATTTTTGAGAAATGCTTAGAGGGAGAAATGCCAGCAAGAAATGCTAAGAAAGAGAGAGAGCTGAATAGATAGAAAAAGAGATATGGGGGCAGGAAAGGGGAAGAAGATTCTCCTGAGTTCAAGTTCCACAGAAACACCAAAAGCAAGACTCCTGGGTGAGTGATTTTATAAAGAAATCTTCCCAGGGTGGACCAGTAAAGGAGAGGAGGGAATTTTTTATATTTACAAAAATGTTGAAAAGGCATCTGAAGGGATCTACAGGTAGGGTTGCTAGATATAGCAGCTAAAATGGAGGACTCCCAGCTACATCTGATTTTTAGATAAATAATCAGTAATTTTTAAATGTAAGTATGTCTTATGCAAGATTTGTTGTTTATCTAAGCTTTAAATTTAACTGACATTATCCACTACCACAGCACAAGAGACGGAGTGTGGAGGAGGGAAGAGGGCCCAGCCACTCTTATATCCTGGTTGCTGAGTTCTTAAATGCACATGGGAGTTCAAAGCAATTTGAGGGCCAAACATTGGGATCATAATGGATGGTAGAAGCACCCTATTCCAATGTCATTTGCCCCTCTCCCAAATCTTCAAGTCCAGCTTCAGCTGAGGGTAATTCTTAGACACACTGTGATCTTTAAACACACATACACACACACACATTACCGCCACCAACACCACCACCACCAACAATGTATTGACTTCGAAAGTAATGAATGCCATTTTAGAAAATTTAGAAAATACACAGAGTATTTATTAAAATAGATAAAAGATAATTCATTATTACTAGAATGGTGCATTTTTTCATTCTTTTTTCTAGGAATTCTATGTATTTTTGTATGTATCACTAGTATTTTTTTCTTTTCACGTTTTTTTCAAAACTGGGACAACACTCTAAATATTGTTTTAAATCCTACTTTTCAAAATTAACATTATTATGAGAACTTCCCATCCTTAAGTGTAATTTGAAAACATAAATTTTAATGTGTATTTTATCACATGGATAAATTATAATCTATTTATAAACTCCATTATTTTGGACACAGGTTATTTATAATTTGTGGTTAATATAAACAACACTGTGGATAACTACATAAATTTTTATCAGCAAAGCTTATCGCCTTACTCCTCAAGCACCTTACACTCCATTGTGGACCTATTTTGCCAACCACTAGCTGGAAAGGTAGAGAGCTGTTTCATTACTCAATGCAACAGTTTTTCTATCAGGATAAGATTGTTTTCACTAACCACAAAAATAATATTCAGGTATGAATTGGAGAGTCAATTTATATCTTCAAATCTCTAAAGGTTGTTAAAAGAAAATAAGAAACAACAAGAACAAAATATTCTGGGTGGATCTGAAGGTAGAAAAAGACCCAACTGAAGAGTTATGGGCAGGCAGATTTTAGTTCAACATGAGCAAAGGCATCCTGAAATCTCTGTGAAGCAATAGAAATGGCTCCCTTGAGTGACAGCTCTGGCTCATGTATAGGGAGCAGAATGGAGACCTATCCTTGGAGAAGTGGCAGAGCACTGTGGCTGAGGGCAGGGACTCTGGAGCCAGAGGGTTGGGTTTTAACCCAAGTAATATGGCTTGAGTGTTGTGTTACCTCCAAATCTCATATTGAAATGTGATCCCCAGTATTGGAGGTGGGGCCTAGTAGGAGATGTTTGGGTCATGGGGGTGGACCCCTTATAAATGGCTTGGTGCCATCCTCATAGTAATCAGTTCACAGGAGAGCTGCTTGTTTAAAGGACCTTGGCACCTCCTCCTCGTCCTCTCTTGCTCCCACTCACCACGTGGTACTCTAGCTTCCTCTTTGCCTTCCACCATGATTGTAAGCTCTCTGAGGCCCTCACTAGAAGCAGATGGTGGCACCATGCTTTCTGTACAGCCTGCAGAACTGTGAGCCAAAATAAACTTCTTTTCTTAATAAATTACTCAGTCTTGGATATTAATTTATAGCAACTCAGAACCGACTAACACACCCAGCTCTGCCATTTTCTGACTGTGTGATCTGGGGCAAGTGGTATAACTGCTTTGGGCTTTAGTGTCCTTATATGTAGAATGGAAATTATTCCTAATGGTAGTTGTAAGGATTAGATGAAAAATGTCTGTGTAGTGCTAGAACTGTCCTAAACATTCAATAAATGTTAGCACTTGTTTTAAGTGTTGTTACTGTAGACAAGTTTGATTAGGCAATATAATTGGATAACAGCTCGCAGAATTTGGGAATCTATACTGATTCTCCCAGTGTGACTGTACTGCTATAGTGATGTCACTCCAATAGACCATCCTGGCATTCTCCAGGGTACACTCTGGTTCTGTTTGTTTCCAGATCTGAGCCTCATTATTTACCTTTTTATGAGTAAAAATAACTTCAGTGCCCTTCATTTTGCAAGCCACGATGGAGGCCAACTCTAGCTTTGTAGCTTATCCATACTGGAATCAAATAGCTGCCTCGTAAAAGGAGTGTTGCAATCTTTAAATGCCCATAAATAAGGATTTGAACATTTATCTCACATCATGTGATTTGGTAAAAGTAAACAGAAAGTCTTTTAGTGGAAGAGTGGAAGTGATGATGAGTGAAATGATATAAAACAGGAGGGTTAGGTTGAGAATGTGTGTGAACCGTAAATAGATGAAGGAGAAAAGTGTGGTTGGTACAAGAAAAGTCAGCTTTCTGCATGGCAGGCAAGGCCAGTTCACAGATGCTGCCAGCTAAAAGAGAATGACCTGCAGAAACTCAGTAAATAGAGAAGGCTCAGTAGCCTCCTCTGTTTATGTTACCCCTAAAAACTTCCCATGTCTGCTCTGCGACCTCCCTCCCATAAGTAGCCAGGAGGATATATTAAAATAAGGAGTTATCTTCCATTTGGAAAACCAAAGCTTAATTGGAACCAGGACTGAAGTCCATGGGACATGGCGGGCTTCAGAAAATATAATCAACTGCTGACTCACTGAAGCTGGATTGAGGAAGGTAGAACACTAGAGCCAGACATGCCCCCAAACTGCCAAAGATTACAGGCAACAGAGGACCCATGTTACAGAGTAGAAAGTGAATATTGGAAAATTGTTTAAAAGACGGCTAATTGTTGGAAATACAAGTAAAATTGTTGAAAATAAAAGCTCAGAGAATGCATTAGTAGCAGACTACACCATGGGGAGTAGACAATAAGGACTGGAGAGGCTGAGGAGGACAGGAGCAGTAAAGATAGGATAGAAGACACCTTGGTATGATCACGTTTCTCTGAAAAGTCCCCTGCAGCATCTCTTTGTACCATGTATCCCAATACTGCTTAGAATGAAGAAAAGAGGATCAAATTCACTTTCAAAGATCCACAAACTTACCAGGGCTTCTGAAAGTGACATCTCTTGTCCAAAATCCTAGAAACCCTTAGCCCTAAAGTATGGATTGTTCACAAGGAATCTTTATAGTCTCTTATTTTGTTAGTGCTCAGAATGCTGAAATGCCTAAGAGATTGCAGTTGGGATTTTTTTCCAACTATACCCTCAATGGATGGGTTTGGCATGATGGCTGGTGAAAAGAGACCACCTGTTGGCCACTTAAGCTATCAGCTCCCATGACTAGCACCAACTCATGATAAGAATTCTACACTTTATTTTGTCCTGGAGTTTTGTCATAAATATATATTAGAAAAGGCTTAGAATTTTTTTAAGTAAGCTCTAGATCAACATATGTATTGTAAGCTTAAAATCCACCTCACTCTTAGAGACTTTCTTCTAGAAAATACCTAAGAGTTAGATCATGGAATCTGATATATCTTCAATTAAGGATAGTTCTAAAATCTAGGAGAGGGGCTAAAGTCAAGTGACCCCAACAGACCATGAAAAGATGGGGAGGTGAACAAGAGAAGACCATGGCAAAAGTGGTCATGATAGAGTGGACCAAATCCATGAAATGGTTGAAGAGCTCTTTGCTGAGGTTGGTAGAAACATAGGGAAGATGGTTATGGGTGATTCAGGAGTGATCCCAGAGAAACGGAGGACAAAATGGCAGTACTGGGCATGTGTTTGTTGTTGTTGTTTTTCTTAGCCTCAGATTCCCAGTTTGCTGAGCCAGACTTGTCTAAACCACATTAATAACTACAGTCATTCTTTCCTCTTCTTGTTGAGGTTAACCATTGATGGGTTCTAGTTAGCCTCCCTCCAACCCTCAAAAAATCAGTGGCACATTTAATGGGTACTTTCCTTCTTGAGAGGTAACTCTGGGAACTTCTCCCACCAAGTGAAGAATGCTGGAAATAAATTTTAAAGGAGGCAGAGAAGATTGCTAAAGACATTGTGGGTGAAAATAGTGGGATTAGACTGCGGCACTAGTATAAGCTCCTTTCAGTTTAGTTCGACCACTTATTTTAGACCTACTGGTATCCCAAGACTGTGACAGCCTTAATGATTCTGACATGAATAACAACAGCAACAGTTTCACTCAGCATCTTTATACTCTAAAACTTCTTGGGACATATGTCCTTTCAAGTATTCCCACTTTTAAGAGAAATTAAAATGTGGCAGGAAGACCATGGGCTTAATAGTGAATCCAAATTTTGCTACTACTTAACAATATGAATCTAAGCAAGTTACCTCCTCACTTTGAGACAGTGTCTATATTTGCAAAATATGGATTATATATATATATTTTAAATTATAGTTATGAAGGTTAACTATAATGTCTATAAAGCATCTGGCAACTTTTCATGCTCACAGTAGGTGTTCAGTCAATGGTGGTAATCATCATTGCTGCTGGTTTCCCTGTGGGCCCCTAAGCCCATCTGCTGCTGCTCTTGCCACCTCTAAAGCTGCTCTTGCCATTGGAACTGCCATTACTCTTGTTTTTGCCATCACTCAAAGGTATCCCAAATCTTGGAATAGTTATCCTAGGAATTATAGTCACTGATGAGATTTTTTAAAAGGCTTTCTGGGCTTTCAGGTATTATCATCCAACAACACAAAAACTTGAAATGAGTTATCAGGAATCTGCTTCAAGGATAGCCAAGTGAAATTGCTGTATTTCATCTCAAGCATATTTTTTTTCTCTGAAATTCCAGTGTTTCAAAATAGGGCCTCTGAACCTTACTTAATTCTCTTCCAGTTCAAAATGAGTTTACTAATTTCTAGGACTTCCTCAAACACTAAAGCAGATTTTTGCCTTCTTTTGTTTCAAGATTGTAACCCCAGTGACCTAGGGTCCCAATACTCAATCCCCGGACCTCCTTTAAACCATTTCTTCCAGATACCTAAATCTTAATAAAAATTCTAGTAGCATGCAGTATGTTCCTGAATTTCTCTGGTTTAAACAGAATATTTCCTAATCCTTGCCATTGTGCCCCTCCATACCTGTGTGAGGTTCTACAGATAGAAACATGAACCATACTCTAGCCTCATTCCTGTGCTCACTATTCAGTGGCTGCATCAAATACTCACCGACTACATTACAATTGATTTACCGCATGTGTCAAAGCACAGTTGATTATAGGTTCCCAACAGGGATCAAGAAGGAAAAGGTAAATCAGGAAAGGGCTCATTAAGTAGGAGCCATTTGAGTAATCTTGGGGTAAGATTTTATTGGCCAGAAAAGTATGACGGTACTTTCAGCCTTAGGGATCAAAATGCACAAAGCCATAATTCAAAATTTCATGGCACATTATAGGAAATGGCAAGTGTTTTTGTAATGAAGGAGCATAGGATGTTTGCAGAAAAGTTATTGAGATGAGCTTACAAATAATAGTTGAACATAGACTGAAGAGGGCCTTGAGTGCCATAATAATGAGGTAGTCTTTTCAGCAGTGAGGACTTAATAGGTTTTGAGCAAGATAGTGATGTGAGGAATGTAGGAATCAGAAGGGAACTTTATAAAATAGTTATTGTCCAAGATGAAATGAGAGTCTAAATTGGGTGGGAAAAATAAAAGAAAGATTCTTAGATAATGCAGTTTTGAGCTTACTCTTGAAGAAAGATATAACTGAATTTAAGAGACAGTGGTGACTGGGGGAGAGAAGTTTTCTACAGCAGGCATAGTAATTGTAGTTGTTATTTTGCAGTGTCTTCTTTGTTCCTATGTTCCTCACTCTTGCTATGGTCATGTCTACTCTTAGGGCATGGAGTGGACACTCTGAGTAGAGTTTGCAGTTTTCATACATGACTCCTGGAAAGAGGTGGAAAATAAGATTGGCCGGGGCTGGAATATGTTATTTCTTTATGAGAAATAAAATGAACTCGGAAGCTCCACGAAGGTGGATGGGAATGGAAAAGCTGTTGGAGAAGGAATGAGCCTAGAGGATTCAATGGGACCAAGACTCTGGGGAGGCTGGAGCCAGGGAGCAGGTGAGAGCCAAGATGAGCAAAATTTGATACTTTCATGGGGGTAAAAATAAAAAGAAAGTGGGTTCTATGACAATGATTCTTCCTACTATGAGCCATTCAGAGCAGGAAGTCTGTCTCCACTGTCACAGCCTTTGGCACCCAAGCACAAGGGCCAATAATTATTAGTCCAGAAATGAAATAAAACCAGGAGAAATAACTAAATATTAGCTTTATCTTAAACATACAGACACCAAAATCATGGCAGAAGTTCAGTCTAAATTGCTATGAAAGGAGGCTATATAATTATCACAAAAAAAGTGCCACAGCAAAAACTGTCTCAGGATTCCAGTAGAAATCATCTCCGGAGCCATCTTATGAACTACCATTCTTTATAGTCATCCCTGGCTTTTGAGCCCAACGTGGTGCCTGGTCTATGTCTTGACTGTGGTAACAGATACACAAATCTAAACAAGTGATAAAATTACAAATAACTAAACACACACACACAAACACACACACACACACACACACACACACACACACACATGCACGTAAGTACAACTAAAACCAGGGGAGTTTGAATTAGACAAGTAGATAGTACCAATGTCAATATCCTCGTTGTGATAGTTGTATTATGGTTTTGTAAGACATTGTCATTGGGGAAAACAGAGTAAAAAGTGCCTAGAATTTCTGTATTCTTTCTTTTTTTTTTTCTTTTTTTTTGTTTTTTTTTTTTATGAGACAGAGTTTCGCTCTTGTCCCCCAGGCTGGAGTACAATGACACAATCTCGTCTCACCGCAACCTCCGCCTCCCAGGTTCAAGCGATTATCCTGCCTCCAGAGTAGCTAGGATTACAGGCATGCGCCACCATGCCTGGCTAATTTTGTATTTTTAGTAGAGACAGGGTTTCTCCATGTTGGTTAGGCTGGTCTCGAAATCCCAACTTCAGGTGATCAGCCTGCCTCAGACTCCCAAAATGTTGGGATTACAGGCGTGAGCCACCATACCCAGCTTGTATTATTTCTTTATTTTATTTTATTTTATTTATTATACTTTAAGTTCTGGGGTGCATGTGCAGAATGTGCAGTTTTGTTACATAGGTATACATGTGCCATGGTGGTTTGCTGCACCCATCAACCCATCACCTACATTCGGTTTTTCCTAATGCTATCCCTCCCCTAGCTCCCCACACCCCGAGAGTGTGATGTTCCCAGTGTGTGATGTTCCCCTCCCTGTGTCCATGTGTTCTCATTGTTCAACTCCCACTTATGAGTGAGAACATGCAGTCCTTGATTTTCTGTTCTTGTGTTAGTTTGCTGAGAATGATGCTCTCCAGCTTCATCCATGTCCCTGAAAAGGACATGAACTTATCCTTTTTTATGGCTGCATAGTATTCCATGGTGTATATGTGCCACATTTTCTTTATCCAGTCTATCACTGATGGACATTTGGGTTGGTTCCAAGTCTTTGCTATTGTGAATAGTACCACAATAAACATATGTGCGCATGTGTCTTTATAGTAGCATGATTTATAATCCTTTGGGTATATACCCAGTAATGGGATTGCTGGGCCAAATGGTATTTCTAGTTCTAGATCCTAGAGGAATCGCCACACTGTCTTCCACAATGGTTGAACTACTTTACACTCTCATCAACAGTATAAAAGCATCCCTATTTCTCCACAGCCTCTCCAGCATCTGTTATTTCCTGAATTTTTAATGATCGCCATTCTAACTGGCGTGAGATGATATCTCATTGTGGTTTTGATTTGCATTTCTCTAGTGACTAGTGATGATGAGCTTCTTTTCGTATGTTTGTTGGCTGCATAAATGTCTTCTTTTCAGAAGTGTCTGTTTATATCCTTTGCCCACTTTTTGATGGGGTTGTTTTTTTTTTCTTGTAAATTTGTTTAAGTTCTTTGTAGATTCTGGATATTAGCCCTTTGTCAGATGGATAGATTGCAAAAATTTTCTCCCATTCCGTAGGTTGTTCACTCTCTTCACACTGATGATAGTTTCTTTTGCTGTGCAGAAGCTCTTCAGTTTAATTAGATCCCATTTGTCAATTTTGGCTTTTGTTGCCATTGCTTTTGGTGTTTTAGACATGAAGTCTTTGCCCATGCCTATGTCCTCAATGGCATTGCCTAGGTTTTCTTCTAGGATTTTTATGCTTTTAGGTCTTATGTTTAAGTCTTTAATCCATCTTGAGTTAATTTTTCTATAAGGTGTGAGGAAGGGGTCCAGTTTCAGTTTTCTGCATATGGATAGCTGGTTTTCCCAACATCATTTATTGAATAGGGAATCCTTTCCCCAATGCTTGTTTTTGTCAGATTTGTCAAAGATCAGATGCTTATAGATGTGTGGTGTTATTTCTGAGGCCTCTGTTGTGTTCCATTGGTCTATAGATCTGTTTTGGTACCAGTACCACGCTATTTTGGTTACTGTAGCCTTGTAGTATAGTTTGAAGTCAGGTAGCGTGATGCCTCCGGCTTTGTTCTTGTTGCTTAGGATTGTCTTGGCTATGCGGGCTCTTTTATGGTTCAGTGTGAAGTTTAAAATAGTTTTTTCCAATTCTGTGAAGAAAGTCATTGGTAGCTTGATGGGGATGGCATTGTACCTATAAATTACCTTGGGCAGTATGGCCATTTTCATGATATTGATTCTTCCTATTCATGAGCATGGAATGTTCTTCCATTTGTTTGTGTCCTCTTTTATTTCGATGAGCAGTTGTGTATAGTTCTCCTTGAAGAAGTCCTCCACATCCCGTGTAAGATGGATTCCTAGGTATTTTATTCTCTTTGTAGCAATTGTGAATGGGACTTCACTCATGATTTGGCTCTCTGTTTGTCTGTTATTGGTATATAGGAATGCTTGTGATTTTTGTACGTTGATTTTGTATCCTGAGACTTTGCTGAATTTGCTTATCAGCTTAAGGAGATTTGGGGCTGAGACAGTGGGGTCTTCTAAATATACAATCACGTATCCACAAACAGAGACAATTTGACTTCCTCTTTTCCTATTTGAATACTCTTTATTTCTCTCTCTTGCCTAATTGCTCTGGCCAGAACTTCCAATACTATGTTGAATAGGAGTAGTGAGAGAGGGCATCCTTGTCTTGTGCTGGTTTTCAAAGGGAATGCCTACAGCTTTTGCCCATTCAGTATGATATTGGCTGTGGATTTGTCATAAATAGCTCCTATCATTTCGAGATGCATTCCATCAATACCTAGTCTATTGAGAGTTTTTAGCATGAAGGGCTGTTGAATTTTGTCAAAGGCCTTTTCTGCATCTATTGAGATAATCATGTGGTTTTTGTCATTAGTTCTGTTTATGTGATGGATTACATTTATTGATTTGTGTATGCTGAACCAGCCTTGCATCCCAGGGATGAAGCTGACTTGATCCTGGTGGATAAGCTTTTTGATATGCTGCTGGATTCTGTTTGCCAGTATTTTATTAAGGATTTTTGCATCGATGTTTATGAGGGATATTGGCCTGAAATTTTCTTTTTTTGTTTTGTCTCTGCCACGTTTTGCTATCAGGATGATGCTGGCCTCATAAAATGAGTTAGGGAGGAGTCCCTCTTTTGCCGTTGTTTGGAATAGTTTCAGAAGGAATGGTACCAGTTCCTCTTTGTATCTCTGGTAGAATTCATCTGTGAATCCGTCTAGTCCTGGACTTTTTTTGGTTGGTAGGCTACTAATTACTGCCTCAATTTCAGAACTTTTTATTGGTCTATTCAGGGATTAGACTTCTTCATGGTTTAGACTTGGGAGGGTGTATGCATCCTGGAATTTATCCGTTTCTTCTAGATTTTCTAGTTTATTTGTGTAGAAGTGTTTATAGTATTCTCTGTTGGTAGTTTGTATTTCTGTGGGACCAGTGGTGATATCCCCTTTATCGTTTTTTATTGTGTCTATTTGATTCTTCTCTCTTTTCTTCTTTATTAGTCTGGCTAGTGGTCTATATTTTGTTGATCTTTTCAAAAAACCAGCTCTTGGATTCATTGATTTTTTGAAGGTTTTTTTGGTGTCTCTATCTCCTTCATTTCGGCTCTGATCTTAGTTATTTCTTGTCTTCTGCTAGCTTTTGAATTTGTTTGCTCTTGCTTCTCTAGTTCTTTTAATTGTGATATTAGGGTGTCGATTTTAGATCTTTCCTGCTTTCCCTTGTGGGCATTTAGTGCTATAAATTTCCCTCTACACACTGCTTCAAATGTGTACCAGACATTCTGTTACATTGTGTCTTTGTTCTCATCGGTTTCAAAGAACATATTTATTTCTGCCTTAATTTCATTATTTACCCAGTATTCATTCAGGAGCTCGTTATTCAGTTTCCGTGTAGTTGTGCAGTTTTGAGTGAGTTTCTTAACCTGGAGTTCTAATTTGATTGCACTGTGGTCTGAGAGACTGTTTGTTATGATTTCCATGCTTTTGCATTTGCTGAGGAGTGTTTTATTTCCAATTATGTGGTCAATTTTAGAATAAGTGCGATGAGGTGCTGAGAAGAATGTATGTTCTGTTGATTTGGGGTGGAGAGTTCTGTAGATGTCTATTAGGTCCACTTGATCCAGAGCTGAGTTCAAGTCCTGAATATCCTTGTTAATTTCCTGTCTCATTGATCTGTCTAATATTGACAGAAGTGTTAAAGTCTCCCATTATTATTGTGTGGGAGTCTAAGTCTCTTTGTAAGTCTCTAATAACTTGCTTTATGAATCTGGGTGCTCCTGTATTGGGTGCATGTATATTTAGGATAGTTAGCTCTTCTTATTGCGTTGATCCCTTTACCATTACATAATGCCCTTCTTTGTCTCTTTCGATCTTTGTTTGTTTAAAGTCTGTTTTATCAGAGACCAGGATTGCAACTCCTGTTTTTGTTTGTTTGTTTTGTTTGTTTGTTTGTTTTGCTTTCCACTTGCTTGGTAAATATTCCTCCATCCCTTTATTTTGAGCCTATGTGTATCTTTGCATGTGAGATGGGCCTCCTGAATACAGCACACCAATGGATCTTGACTCTTTATCCAATTTGCCAGTCTGTGTCTTTTAACTGGGGGCATTTAGCCCATTTAAATTTAATGTTAATATTGTTATTTCTGAATTTGATCCTATCATTATTATGCTAGCTGGTTATTTTGTCCATTAGTTATGCAATTTCTTTACAATTTGGCATGTTTTTGCAGTGGTTGGTATTGGTTGTTCCTTTCTATGTTTAGTGCTTCCTTCAGGAGCTCTTGTAAGGCAGGCCTTGTAGTGACAAACATCTCTCAGCATTTGCTTGTCTATAAAGGATTTTATTTCTCTTTCACTTCTGAAGCTTAGTTTGGCTGGATATGAAATTCTGGTTTGAAAATTCTTTTCTTTAAGAATGTTGAATATTGGCCCCCACTCTCTTCTGGCTTGTAGGGTTTCTGCTGAGAGATCCGCTGTTAGTCTGATGGGCTTCCCTTTGTGGGTAATCCGATGTTTCTCTCTGGCTGCCCTTAACATTTTTTCCCTTCATTTCAACCTTGGTGAATCTGACAATTATGTGTCTTGGGGTTGCTCTTATCGAGGAGTATCTTTGTAGTGTTCTCTCTATTTCCTGAATTTGAATGTTGGCCTATCCTACTGGGTTGGGGAAGTTTTCCTGGATAATATCATGAAGAGTGTTTTCCAACCTGGTTCCATTCTCCCTGTCACTTTCAGGTACACCAATCAAAAGTAGATTTGGTCTTTTCACATAGTCCCATATTTCTTGGAGCCTTTGTTCATTGCTTTTCATTCTTTTTTCTCTAATCTTGTCTTCTTGCTTTATTTCATTAAGTTGTTCTTCAATCTCTTTTATCCTTTCTTCTGCCTGATCGATTTAGCTATTGATACTTGTGAATGCTTCACGAAGTTCTTGTGCTTTGTTTTTCAGCTCCATCAGGTCATTTACGTTCTTCTCTAAACCGGTTATTCTACTTAGCAATTCATCTGACCTTTTTTCAGGGTTCTTAGCTTCCTTGCATTGGGTTAGAACATGCTCCTTTAACTCGGAAGAGTTTGTTATTACCCACCTTCTGAAACCTACTTCTGTCAACTCATCAAACTCATTCTCTGTCCAGTTTTGTTCCCTTGCTGGCGAGGAGTTGTGATCCTTTGGAGGAGAAGCTGGTTTTTGGAATTTTCAGCCTTTTGGTGCTGGTTTCTCCCCATCTTCGTGGATTTATCTACCTTTGGTCTTTGATGTTGGCGACCTTTGTATGGGGTCTCTAACAGTCAGGCCCCTCTGCTGCAAGTCTGCTGCAGTTTTCTGGAGGTCCACTCCAGACCCTGTTTGCCTGGGTGTCACAAGCAGAGGCTGCAGAATAGCAAAGATTGTTGCCTGTTCTTTCCTCTGAAAGCTTTGTCCCAGAGGGGCACCTGCCAGATGTCAGCCAGAGCTCTCCTGTATGAGGTGTCTGTCAGCCCCTACTGGGAGTTGTCCCCCAGATAGGATACACGGGGGTCAGGGACCCACTTGAGGAGGCAGTCTGACCCTTAGCAGAGCTCAAAAGCTGTGCTGGGAGATCCATGCTCTCTTCAGAGCCAGCAGGCAGAAACATTTAAGTCTGCTGAAGCTGCACCCACAGCTGCCCCTTCTCCCAGGAGCTCTGTCCCAGGGAGATGGGGGTTTTATCTATAAGTCCCTGTCTGGGGATGCTGCCGTTTTTTCAGAGATGCCCTGCCCAGAGAGGCAGTCTGGCGGCAGTGGCCTTGCTGAGCTGCAGTGGGCTCCGCCCAGTTCAAACTTCCAGTTGTCTTTGTTTACACTATGAGAGTAAAACCACCTACTCAAGCCTCAGCAATGGCGGACACCCCTCCCCACACCAAGCTGGAGTGTCCCAGGTCGAGCTCAGACTGTTGTGCTGGCTACGAGAATTTCAAGTCAGTGGATCTTAGTTTGCTGGGCTCTGTGGGGGTGGGACCTGCCAAACCAGACCACTTGGCTCCCTGGCTTCAGCCCCCTTTCCAGGGGAGTGAACTATTCTGTCTTTCTGACATTCCAGGCACCACTGGGGTATGGGGAAAAAAAAAAAACAAAAACCTCCTGCAGCTAGTTCAGTGTCTGCCCAGAACAGTTGCCCAGTTTTGTGCTTGAAACCCAGGGCTCTGGTGGTGTAGACACCAGAGGGAATCTCCTGGTCTGCGGGTTGCGAAGACTATGGGAAAAGTGCAGTATCTGGGCCAGAGTGCTCCATTCCTCAGGCACAGTCCCTCACAGCTTCCCTTGGGTAGGGGAGAGAACTCCCCAACCCCTTGTGCTTCCAAGGTAAGGCAACGCCCCGCCCTGCTTTAGCTCACCCTCCATGGGCTACATCCACTGTCCAACCAGTCCCAATGAGATGAACTGGTTACCTCAGTTGGAAATGCAGAAATCATCTGCCTTCTGTGTTGATCTCACTGGGAGGTGCAGAGTGGACCTGTTCCTATTCGGCCATCTTGCCAGCAATCCATATTATTTCTTAAATACTTACTTGCATGAAAATCTAAAATTATCTCAAAATAATTTTAGTTTTTAAAAATGAGTCATTGAAAAATTTTTGAAAATCACCTTTCAAAAATTGGTTGAGATGAAGTAGCTACTTTGACAGACCAGTTCGGTGGTGCTGTTCTGAGAGTCTTTCATGGAAGTCTGCCTAAAGCCTTTCAAAGGTTTTCTAAGCACACAGTTCCCTGCATCACATTCCTTTTGCTTGAGACAGCTAGAGTGGGTGTTTGTTTGTTTTGTTATCGGCAACTGAACCCTCATGCTGATGCCCTGTGACTTCATAGTTCCATCACGGCTTTCTATCCAAGTGGGATGTCCTCAGTTTAAAAGTCTAAAACTGTCCAGAGATAGTTAGCTAAAGCATAGAACGGTCAGTGGGCCTCTCTCAGCTAGGACTCTCACAGGTATTGTCTGAAAGTGAAAGAAAAAGCAGGAAGAAACAATGGGGTCTTGGTTATGGGACATTTTTAATGATTTTGCTGGTGCAGAGATTGGGGTATTGATGAGAGTATAGGTTAAAAGTCCCAAGGAAACTTCAGGAAAACCTGAGCAGTGTTTCAAATTTCTAATACATTTAAACTCTTTGGAGTTTTAATGGAGACTTGCTCTTAGTGAAAAACTTGGTGAGATTGCATTGTGTTTCCCATAGGAAATTAAAAGCAGCTGAGAGATTTTTTTTGAGCTCCTATCTATCCTCCTCTCCATTTCTCAAAGGCTTAAGAAATTCCCCTCACAGTAAATAGAACAACATAGAAGTGTCCCGGACCCAAGGTGAATGAATTTGCTAGGCCATGGTCAGGTGCTATTGCAGCAACTGGAGTTGGGCAACGCGGCGCTCATGTTTAGAAAGGGTGAAGCCACAGCCACAGAGCTCTAGGGTAGAGCTGTCTTCTCAGTGGCCCTAGCCATCCTGTGCTCTGCTTCCTTTTCCCTTTCTCCCTACCCACCTTTCATCATCCTCAGAAGCCCATGTGTGTGAAAGGCAGCGGAGGAATGTGGGTGGGTTGACTTGTATAATTAAATCCATGTTGCCTTGTGTTCTTTAGAATTAATAAGGAATTCTTCCCATTGAAACTCACCATGACATCTTCCCTCTGACTCAGATTTCTTTTTTGCTTTTCTCTTCTTTCCTTGGCTAAAAGCATTAGACATGGGGCTATGGTTCAAATTAGCATCCTACATGTCTCTTCTGTCTGTCTTTGCTTAATTGAGCTTTTCTGTTCAGGGAAAAGTGTAGTTTGTTTATATTTCATTTTTCTTAAATTCCACTTATCTGTCTTTGTCCCTTTTCTTTCTTCTTTTAGAAAACTTAGGAAAAGAGAAAACAAGAGAGTTTTTCACCTTGCGTATGACTGTAAGGTTGGAGAAAGTGCACTGCTGGCCAAACCTTGACAATCCAGGTGTTGTTCTTTGAGGTTCTTTGTTCCCTGGATCTTCATATCCTGACACCAGGAAAACTGTGCTCTCATATACTTATCCGCTGAGGCCAGGAGAGCTGTGAGACGGGGAAAAATAGTGAACAAATGTTACTTCTACTTTCCTGGGTCATGTTGCGAAACACCTTTTTATTGGGGGTAATAATTTGACTTCATTTCCTTATAAAAGTGGATTTATGTGATGGATATGTGATATATATTTTTTGCCACCGTTTTTGCAGGATAGTGGTTGTATCAGTTAGGATTAGATTCACTGTGAATAACATAAACCCAAAATAACAGTGGCTTAAACCTGATAAAAATTTCTCTTTCTGCTCATGTTGAAAAACAGCTGTAGCTGTCCTGGGCTAGTGTGGTGGCTCCACTCCATGAAGGCTTTCTTGGAGACCCAAAAGAAAGCAGCTCAGGGTGTCACCCTCAGCTTCATGGTCCATGTCGGCAGTTATTATGTCATCTTCAGAACAATCTTACAAACCCTCTGGAAGAGTCCATCTCCCTCCTTTACCGGCTCCTGACTTTTGACCACATGGAAGGTCTCAGTTTACTTTCATTCATGAGATTTGGGGTCATGGCACATATTTGAGTCTGACCTGTGCTGCCTATCAGATGTGCAAATCTGGGCAAATCACTAAACTTCTATGCATCTATATTTTCATCATATGGAAAATTGAAATTATAACGTATAACTCAGAGCAGTATAGTATAAGGATAAAAGACAATATGTAAAGAAAAATTGGTCTGCTGATTAGCATGAAAATGAATATCATTTTACAGTTTTTAAGTTTCTTATTGAGCATTTTTTTTATTTTTAAAGAAAACCAATCCCATATTTAGAGACTGGAGATTTTTTTCCTGGTGAGAACATCCTCAAAAAATGGGCTTTATGTCCCCTACAAGCCCTTCTCCCAAGTGGAAAGAAACCTGATGTGCAGTGGGACAACTTCATTGTTTGTTCCACCTCCAATGAGGCTTTCACTATAGGTTTCATCTATGGGGGATATGGTGGATTTATGGTCAATATGCACTACCCTCTCCTTCCAGTGGAGTGTTTTTTAAACTGCGGATCAAGAGATCCATTAGATGATAATGAAGTCATTTTAGTGTATCATGACCAGTATGTTTGAATGAAAAAATAGAATGAAATAGAATACAATAGTATAGTTAGAAAAAAATTAGGCCATATCACAAATAATCAATGTAAGTTTTTCATCAAACATGTTTCACATATATGTGCATACACATGTATGTGTATTTTAGGTTATGATGTGTTTCTTCAAATGGATCATGAGTTTTGAGATAGAATGATAGGTTGGGAGGAATTACTCTACCTGACATAAAAGCAGACTATATAATCACCGTGTTTAACACAATGTGTTCTTTGCAGAGAGATAGACACATTGATCAATGGAACAGAATAGAGAACTCAAAAGTAGACCCCCACATATAAGCCCAACTGACTTTTAACAAAAGTGGGAAAGCAATTCAATGAAGAAGAAATCAATTGGCCTTTTCAATTCAACTTGGCCTTGTCAAAAAGTGGCCCAAATGGGTAGACCTCTCATTTGCATTCTAAGTAGCAGCAAGAAGACAAGAGATGCCTCCATGTGTGCCAGAGGTCTTTTAAGAAAAAGATCCAGGAGCAGCCACAATCTTTAAGCTGAAGTCTCATTGGCTGGAACTTAGTTTCATGGCCATACCAACTGTAAGGAAACCTGAGAAATTCATCTTCCTTCTGAATAGTCATATGCCTGGCTTAAATGTCTATTATTATATATAAGTAGAATAAGATAGATATTGGGGCACAGTTAACTATCTGTCAGTGTTACACTGTTGTTTAGATTTATCCAGAGATGCTCTGCAAGTGCAGCATTCCATCTCTCCAGAACACACAAACGATCTTTCCACAGCACATATTTTATCCCCTGGTTAAAAACCTCAGATGCCTCCAATGCACATAGAGTAAAGACCAAACTCCTTTGTACGACATTTAGATTTTTGAACTTTTAGCTCAAGCCATATTTCTAGCCATCACCTGCCCACTGCATTCTCCCAAATGCTAAGACTCTCTGATACCTAAACATTCCTGCTCAAGTTCTCCCCTCCCCTGGAATGCATTCCAACTCCTGCCCCACTCCATATATCTGACCGATGACGCCTCATCCATGCAGACCTGTATCAATCATCATCCTCTCTCTCTCTCTTTCTCTCTCTCTCCCCTGCCCTTCCTGACTCCTCAAGCCAGCGGAAGTACCTGTTTCCTTCTCTAGGCCACCTTAATTCAGACGTACACGGACGATGGCAGCACCCCGTTTCTTTGTTGTTGTGATTTTTTTTTGTTTTGCTGCAGACTACAGGCTCCTCCAACACAAGACCTATCATCCCGAATTCTGTTGCCACAGATCTTGGGGTCCCTCCACACCCTTAAAATTCATCATTGAATTATTGAGAGGTTTCTCAGCATCAAAATATTGACAGAAA